>NC_000001.11:124849229-124932724 GCF_000001405.40 Homo sapiens
AGCATTCTCAGGAAACACTTTGTGACGATTGAGTTCAACCCACAGAGCTGAACATTGTTTTGGATGGAGCAGTTTCGAAACACACTTTTTGTAGAATCTGCAAGTGGGTGTTTGGACTTCTCTGAGGATTTCCTTGGAAATGGGATAAACCTCACAGAACTAAACAGAAGCATTCTCAGAAACTTCTTCGTGATGTTGGCATTCAACTCCCAGAGTTGAAACTTCCCTTGTGAGTTCAGGGTGAAACACTCTTTTCGTAGTATCTGCAAGTGGAGATTTGGAACGCTTTGAGGCCTAAGGTAGTAAAGGATATAGCTTCGTGTGAAAACTGGACAGAAGCATTCTCAGAAAATACTTTGTGATGATTTAGTTGAACTCACAGAGTTGAACATTCCTTTGGATGTAGCAGTTATGAAACACACTTTTTGTAGAATCTGCAAGTGGATATTTGGAACTCCCTGAGGATTTCGTTGGAAACGGGATAACGTCACCTAACTGAACAGAAGCTTTCGCAGAAACTTCTTTGTGACGTTTGCATTCAAAGTCCAGAGTTGAACCTTCCTTTGATAGTTCAAGTTTGAATCACTCTTTTTGTAGGATCTGCAAGTGGATATTTGGAGCACTTTGTGGCCCTCGTTCGAAACGGGTATATCTTCACATAAAATCCAGACAGAAGCCTTCTCAGAAACTTCTCTGTGATGATTGCATTCAACTCACAGAGTTGAACTTTCCTTTGGATAGAGCAGTTTCGAAACTCTCTTTTTTCTAGAACCTGCACATGGACAGGTGGAACTCTGTGAAGATTTCTTTGCAAACGGGAATATCTTCACAGAAAGAGGAAAGAGAATGCCTTCTCAGAAACTTCTTTGTGAGGCATGTGTTCAACTCCCAGAGTTTAACCTTGCTTTTCATAGAACAGTTTTGAAACATTCTTTTCGTAGAGTCTCCAAGTGGACATTTGTTGCGCTTTCAGGCCTGTGGTGGAAAAGGAAATATCTTCACATAAAAACTAGAGAGAAGCATTGTCAGAGACTTCTTCTTTGTGATGACTGCATTCAACTCACGGAGTGGAATGCTCCTTTTGATACAGCAGCTTGGAAACACTCTTTCAGAGGGACCTGCAAGCGGATACTTGGACCTCTTTGAAGATTTCGATGGAAAAGGGATAATCTTCCCATAAAAGCTAAATGGAAGTATGCTCAGAGCCTTCTTTGTGATGTTTGCATTCAACTCACAGAGTTGTACTTTCCTTTAGATAGAGCAGCTATGAAACCCTCTATTTCTAGAATCTGCAAGTGGACATTTGGAGGGCTTCGAGGCCTGTGGTGGAAAAGGAAATATCTACTCATAAAGGCTAGATGGAAGCATTCTCAGAAACTACTTTGTGATGATTGCTTTCAGGTCACAGAGTTGAACATTCCCTTTGATAGAGCTGTTTGGAGACACACTTTTGGTAGAATCGGCAAGGGGAGATTTGGACCGCTTTGAGGCCTATGGCAGTAGAGGAAATCACTGCCCATAAAAACTAGACAGCAGCATTCTCAGGAAACACTTTGTGACGATTGAGTTCAACTCACAGAGCTGAACATTCCTTTGGATGGAGCAGTTTCGAAACACACTTTTTGTAGGATCTGCAAGTAGATATTTGGACTTCTCTAAGGATTTCGTTGGAAACGGGATAAACCTCACCTAACTAAACAGAAGCATTCTCAGAAACTTCTTCGTGATGTTGGCATTCAACTCCCAGATTTGAAACTTCCCTTGTGAGTTCAGGGTGAAACACTCTTTTCGTAGTATCTGCAAGTGGAGATTTGGAACGCTTTGAGGCCTAAGGTAGTAAAGGATATAGCTTCGTGTAAAAACTGGACAGAAGCATTCTCACAAAATACTTTGTGATGATTTAGTTGAACTCACAGAGCTGAACATTCCTTTGGATGGAGCAGTTTTGAAACACACTTTTTGTAGAATCTGCAAGTGGATATTTGGAACTCCCTGAGGATTTCATTGGAAACGGGATAACGTCACCTAACTGAACAGAAGCTTTCGCAGAAACTTCTTTGTGACGTTTGCATTCAAAGTCCAGAGTTGAACCTTCCCTTGATAGTTCACGTTGGAAACACTCTTTTTGTAGGATCTGCAAGTGGATATTGGGAGCACTTTGTGGCCTTCGTTCGAAATGGGTATATCTTCACATAAAATCCAGACAGAAGCCTTCTCAGAAACTTCTCTGTGATGATTGCATTCAACTCACAGAGTTGAACATTCCTTTGGATAGAGCAGTTTCGAAACTCTCTTTTTTCTAGAACCTGCACATGGATAGGTGGAACTCTGTGAAGATTTCTTTGCAAACGGGAATATCTTCACGTAAAGAGTAAAGAGATGCTTTCTCAGAAACTTCTTTGTGAGGCATGTGTTCAACACCCAGAGTTTAACCTTGCTTTTCATAGAGCAGTTTTGAAACATTCTTTTCGTAGAGTCTCCAAGTGGACATTTGGAGCGCTTTCAGGCCTGTGGTGGAAAAGGAAATATCTTCAGCTAAAAACTAGAGAGAAGCATTGTCAGAACCTTCTTTGTGATGATTGCATTCAACTCACGAAGTTGAAGGTTCCTTTTGATACAGCAGTTTGGAAACACTATTTCAGTGGGATCTGCAGGCGGATATTTGGACTTCTTTGAAGATTTCGATGGAAAAGGGATAATCTTCCCATAAAAGCTAAACGGAAGCATGCTCAGAGACTTCTTTGTGATGTTTGCATTCAACTCACAGAGTTATACTTTCATTTCCATAGAGCAGCTTTAAACCCTCTCTTTCTAGAATCTGTAAGTGGACATTTGGAGGGCTTCGAGGCCTGTGGTGGAAAAGGAAATATCTACTCATAAAAGGTAGATGGAAGCATTCTCAGAAACTACTTTGTGATGGTTGCTTTCAACTCACAGAGTTGAACATTCCGTTTGATAGAGCCGTTTGGAAACACACTTTTGGTAGAATCTGCAAGGGGAGATTTGGACCGCTTTGAGGCCTATGGCAGTAGAGGAAATCACTGCCCATAAAAACTAGACCGTAGCATTCTCAGGAAACACTTTGTGACGATTGAGTTCAACCCACAGAGCTGAACATTGCTTTGGATGGAGCAGTTTGGAAACACACTTTTTGTGGAATCTGCAAGTGGGTATTTGGACTTCTCTGAGGATTTCGTTGGAAACGGGATAAACCTCACATAACTAAACATAAGCATTGTCAGGAACTTCTTCGTGATGTTGGCATTCAACTCAGAGAGTTGAACCGTCCCTTGTGAGATCAGGATGAAACTCTCTTTTCGTAGTATCTGCAAGTGGAGATTTGGAACGCTTTGTGGCCTACGGTAGTAATGGAAATAGCTTCGAGTAAAAACTGGACAGAAGCATTCTCAGAAAATACTTTGTGATGATTGAGTGTAACTCACAGAGCTGAACATTCCTTTGGATGGAGGAGTTTTGAAACACACTTTTTGTAGCATCTGCAAGTGGATATTTGGACCTCTCTGAGGATTTCGTTGGAAACGGGATAATGTCACCTAATTAAACAGAAGCTTTCGCAGAAACTTCTTTGGGACGTTTGCATTCAAAGTCCAGAGTTGAACCTTCCTTCGATAGCTCACGTTTGAAACACTCTTTTTGTAGGATCTGCAGGTGGATATTTGGAGCACTTTGTGGCCTTCGTTCGAAAAGGGTATACCTTCACATAAAATCCAGACAGAAGCCTTCTCAGAAACTTCTCTGTGATGATTGCATTCAACTCACAGAGTTGAACATTCCTTTGGAGAGAGCAGTTTCGAAACTCTCTTTTTTCTAGAACCTGCACATGGATAGGTGGAACTCTGTGAAGATTTCTTTGCAAACTGGAATATCTTCACATAAAGAGTAAAGAGATTCCTTCTCAGAAACTTCTTTGTGAGGCATGTGTTCAACTCCCAGAGTTTAACCTTGCTTTTCATAGAGCACTTTTGAAACATTCTTTTCGTAGAGTCTCCGTGTGGACATTAGGAGCGCTTTCAGGCCTGTGGTGGAAAAGGAAATATCTTCAGCTAAAAACTAGAGAGAAGCATTGTCAGAAACTTCTTTGTGATGATTGCATTCAACTCACGAAGTTGAAGGTTCCTTTTGATACAGCAGTTTGGAAACACTCTTTCAGTGGGATCTGCAAGCGGATATTTGGACTTCTTTGAAGATTTCGATGGAAAAGGGATAATCTTCCCATAAAAGCTAAACGGAAGCATGCTCAGAGACTTCTTTGTGATGTTTGCATTCAACTCACAGAGTTATACTTTCATTTCCATAGAGCAGCTTTAAACCCTCTCTTTCTAGAATCTGTAAGTGGACATTTGGAGGGCTTCGAGGCCTGTGGTGGAAAAGGAAATATCTACTCATAAAAGGTAGATGGAAGCATTCTCAGAAACTACTTTGTGATGGTTGCTTTCAACTCACAGAGTTGAACATTCCGTTTGATAGAGCCGTTTGGAAACACACTTTTGGTAGAATCTGCAAGGGGAGATTTGGACCGCTTTGAGGCCTATGGCAGTAGATGAAATCACTGCCCATAAAAACTAGACCGTAGCATTCTCAGGAAACACTTTGTGACGATTGAGTTCAACCCACAGAGCTGAACATTGCTTTGGATGGAGCAGTTTGGAAACACACTTTTTGTGGAATCTGCAAGTGGATATTTGGACTTCTCTGAGGATTTCATTGGAAACGGGATAAACCTCACATAACTAAACAGAAGCATTCTCAGAAACTTCTTCGTGATGTTGGCATTCAACTCCCAGATTTGAAACTTCCCTTGTGAGTTCAGGGTGAAACACTCTTTTCGTAGTATCTGCAAGTGGAGATTTGGAACGCTTTGAGGCCTAAGGTAGTAAAGGATATAGCTTCGTGTAAAAACTGGACAGAAGCATTCTCAGAAAATACTTTGTGATGATTTAGTTGAACTCACAGAGCTGCACATTCCTTTGGATGGAGCAGTTTTGAAACACACTTTTTGTAGAATCTGCAAGTGGATATTTGGAACTCCCTGAGGATTTCGTTGGAAACGGGATAACGTCACCTAACTGAACAGAAGCTTTCGCAGAAACTTCTTTGTGATGTTTGCATTCAAAGCCCAGAGTTGAACCTTCCTTTGATAGTTCACTTTTGAAACACTCTTTTTGAAGGATCTGCAAGTGGATATTTGGAGCACTTTGTGGCCTTCGTTCGAAACGGGTATATCTTCACATAAAATCTAGACAGAAGCCTTCTCAGAAACTTCTCTGTGATGATTGCATTCAACTCACAGAGTTGAACATTCCTTTGGATAGAGCGGTTTCGAAACTCTCTTTTTTCTAGAACCTACACATGGATAGGTGGAACTCTGTGAAGATTTCTTTGCAAACGGGAATATCTTCACATAAAGAGTAAAGAGATGCCTTCTCAGAAACTTCTTTGTGAGGCATGTGTTCAACTCCCAGAGTTTAACCTTGCTTTTCATAGAGCAGTTTTGAAACATTCTTTTCGTAGAGTCTCCAAGTGGACATTTGGAGCGCTTTCAGGCCTGTGGAGGAAAAGGAAATATCTTCAGCTAAAAAATAGACAGAAGCATTGTCAGAAACTTCTTTGTCATGATTGCATTCAACTCACAGAGTTGTAGGTTCCTTTTGATACAGCAGTTTGGAAACACTCTTTCGGTGGGAACTGCAAGCGGATATTTGGACCTCTTTGAAGATTTCGATGGAAAAGGGATAATCTTCCCATAAAAGCTAAACGGAAGCATGCTCAGAGACTTCTTTGTGATGTTTGCATTCAACTCACAGAGTTATACTTTCCTTTCGATAGAACAGCTTTGAAACCCTCTCTTTCTAGAATCTGTAAGTGGACATTTGGAGGGCTTCGAGGCCTGTGGTGGAAAAGGAAATATCTACTCATAAAAGGTAGATGGAAGCATTCTCAGAAACTACTATGTAATGGTTGCTTTCAACTCACAGAGTTGAACATTCCCTTTGATAGAGCCGTTTGGAAACACACTTTTGGTAGAATCTGCAAGGGGAGATTTGGACCGCTTTGAGGCCTATGGCAGTAGAGGAAATCACTGCCCATAAGAACTAGACCGTAGCATTCTCAGGAAACACTTTGTGACGATTGAGTTCAACCCACAGAGCTGAACATTGCTTTGGATGGAGCAGTTTGGAAACACACTTTTTGTGGAATCTGCAAGTGGGTATTTGGACTTCTCTGAGGATTTCGTTGGAAACGGGATAAACCTCACATAACTAAACAGAAGCATTCTCAGAAACTTCTTCGTGATGTTGGCATTCAACTCCCAGAGTTGAAACTTCCCTTGTGAGTTCAGGGTGAAACACTCTTTTCGTAGTATCTGCAAGTGGAGATTTGGAACGCTTTGAGGCCTAAGGTAGTAAAGGATATAGCTTCGTGTAAAAACTGGACAGAAGCATTCTCAGAAAATACTTTGTGATGATTTAGTTGAACTCACAGAGCTGAACATTCCTTTGGATGGAGCAGTTTTGAAACACACTTTTTGTAGAATCTGCAAGTGGATATTTGGAACTCCCTGAGGATTTCATTGGAAACGGGATAACGTCACCTAACTGAACAGAAGCTTTCGCAAATCTTCTTTGTGACGTTTGCATTCAAAGTCCAGAGTTGAACCTTCCTTTGATAGTTCACGTTTGAAACACTCTTTTTGTAGGATCTGCAAGTGGATATTTGGAGCACTTTGTGGCCCTCGTTCGAAATTTTATATCTTCACATAAAATCCAGACAGAAGCCTTCTCAGAAACCTCTCTGTGATGATTGCGTTCAACTCAGAGGGTTGAACATTCCTTTGGATAGATCAGTTGCGAAACTCTGTTTCTCTGGAATCTGCACATGGATAGGTGGAACTCTGTGAAGATTTCTTTGCAAACGGGAATATCTTCACATAAAGAGTAAACAGATGCCTTCTCAGAAACTTCTTTGTGAGGCATGTGTTCAACACCCAGAGTTTAACCTTGCTTTTCATAGAGCACTTTTGAAACATTCTTTTCGTAGAGTCTCCAAGTGGACATTTGGAGTGCTTTCAGGCCTGTGGTGGAAAAGGAAATATCTTCAGCTAAAAACTAGAGAGAAGCATTGTCAGAAACTTCTTTGTGATGATTGCATTCAACTCACGGAGTTGAAGGTGCCTTTTGATACAGCAGTTTGGAAACACTCTTTCAGTGGGATCTGCAAGCGGATATTTGGACCTCTTTGAAGATTTCGATGGAAAAGGGATAATCTTCCCATAAAAGCTAAACGGAAGCATGCTCAGAGACTTCTTTGTGATGTTTGCATTCAACTCACAGAGTTATACATTCCTTTCGATAGAGCAGCTTTGAAACCCTCTCTTTCTAGAATCTGTAAGTGGACATTTGGAGGGCTTCGAGGCCTGTGGTGGAAAAGGAAATATCTACTCATAAAAGGTAGATGGAAGCATTCTCAGAAACTACTTTGTGATGGTTGCTTTCAACTCAAAGAGTTGAACATTCCGTTTGATAGAGCCGTTTGGAAACACACTGTTGGTAGAATCTGCAAGGGGAGATTTGGACCGCTTTGAGGCCTATGGCAGTAGAGGAAATCACTGCCCATAAAAACTAGACCGTAGCATTCTCAGGAAACACTTTGTGACGATTGAGTTCAACCCACAGAGCTGAACATTGCTTTGGATGGAGCAGTTTGGAAACACACTTTTTGTGGAATCTGCAAGTGGGTATTTGGACTTCTCTGAGGATTTCGTTGGAAACGGGATAAACCTCACATAACTAAACAGAAGCATTCTCAGAAACTTCTTCGTGATGTTGGCATTCAACTCCCAGAGTTGAAACTTCCCTTGTGAGTTCAGGGTGAAACACTCTTTTCGTAGTATCTGCAAGTGGAGATTTGGAACGCTTTGAGGCCTAAGGTAGTAAAGGATATAGCTTCGTGTAAAAACTGGACAGAAGCATTCTCAGAAAATACTTTGTGATGATTTAGTTGAACTCACAGAGCTGAACATTCCTTTGGATGGAGCAGTTTTGAAACACACTTTTTGTAGAATCTGCAAGTGGATATTTGGAACTCCCTGAGGATTTCGTTGAAAACGGGATAACGTCACCTAACTGAACAGAAGCTTTCGCAGAAACTTCTTTGTGACGTTTGCATTCAAAGTCCAGAGTTGAACCTTCCTTTGATACTTCACGTTTGAAACACTCTTTTTGTAGGATCTGCAAGTGGATATTTGGAGCACTTTGTGGCCCTCGTTCGAAACGGGTATATCTTCACATAAAATCCAGACAGAAGCCTTCTCAGAAACTTCTCTGTGATGATTGCATTCAACTCACAGAGTTGAACATTCCTTTGGATAGAGCAGTTTGGAAACTCTCTTTTTTCTAGAACCTGCACATGGATAGGTGGAACTCTGTGAAGATTTCTTTGCAAACGGGAATATCTTCACATAAAGAGTAAAGAGATGCCTTCTCAGAAACTTCTTTGTGAGGCATGTGTTCAACTCCCAGAGTTTAACCTTGCTTTCAATAGAGCAGTTTTGAAACATTCTTTTCGTAGAGTCTCCGTGTGGACATTTGGAGTGCTTTCAGGCCTGTGGTGGAAAAGGAAATATCTTCAGCTAAAAACTAGAGAGAAGCATTGTCAGAAACTTCTTTGTGATGATTGCATTCAACTCACGGAGTTGAAGGTTCCTTTTGATACAGCAGTTTGGAAACACTCTTTTTGTGGGATCTGCAAGCGGATATTTGGACCTCTTTGAAGATTTCGATGGAAAAGGGATAATCTTCCCATAAAAGCTAAACGGAAGCATGCTCAGAGACTTCTTTCTGATGTTTGCATTCAAATCCCAGAGTTGTACTTTCCTTTTCATAGAGCAGCTTTGAAACCCTCTCTTTCTAGAATCTGCAAGTGGACATTTGGAGGGCTTCGAGGCCTGTGGTGGAAAAGGAAATATCTCCTCATAAAAGCTAGATGGAAGCATTCTCCGAAACTACATTTTGATGATTCCTTTCAAGTCACAGAGTTGAACATTCCCTTTGGTAGAGCCGTTTGGAAACGCACTTTTGGTAGAATCTGCAAGGGGAGATTTGGACCGCTTTGAAGCCTATGGCAGTAGAGGAAATCACTGCCCATGAAATCTAGACAGTAGCATTCTCAGGAAACACTTTGTGACGATTGAGTTCAACCCACAGAGCTGAACATTGCTTTGGATGGAGCAGTTTGGAAACACACTTTTTGTGGAATCTGCAAGTGGGTATATGGACTTCTCTGAGGATTTCATTGGAAACGGGATAAACCTCACATAACTAAACGGAAGCATTCTCAGAAACTTCTTCGTGATGTTGGCATTCAACTCCCAGATTTGAAACTTCCCTTGTGAGTTCAGGGTGAAACACTCTTTTCGTAGTATCTGCAAGTGGAGATTTGGAACGCTTTGAGGCCTAAGGTAGTAAAGGATATAGCTTCGTGTAAAAACTGGACAGAAGCATTCTCAGAAAACACTTTGTGATGATTTAGTTGAAGTCACAGAGCTGAACATTCCTTTGGATGGAGCAGTTTTGAAACACACTTTTTGTAGAATCTGCAAGTGGATATTTGGAACTCCCTGAGGATTTCGTTGGAAACGGGATAACGTCACCTAACTGAACAGAAGCTTTCGCAGAAACTTCTTTGTGACGTTTGCATTCAAAGTCCAGAGTTGAACCTTCCTTTGATAGTTGACGTTTGAAACACTCTTTTTGTAGGATCTGCAAGTGGATATTTGGAGCACTTTGTGGCCCTCGTTCGAAACGGGTATATCTTCACATAAAATCCAGACAGAAGCCTTCTCAGAAACTTCTCTGTGATGATTGCATTCAACTCACAGAGTTGAACATTCCTTTGGATAGAGCAGTTTCGAAACTCTCTTTTTTCTAGAACCTGCACATGGATAGGTGGAACTCTGTGAAGATTTCTTTGCAAAAGGGAATATCTTCACATAAAGAGTAAAGAGATGCCTTCTCAGAAACTTCTTTGTGAGGCATGTGTTCAACTCCCAGAGTTTAACCTTGCTTTTCATAGAGCACTTTTGAAACATTCTTTTCGTAGAGTCTCCAAGTGGACATTTGGAGCGCTTTCAGGCCTGTGGTGGAAAAGGAAATATCTTCAGCTAAAAACTAGAGAGAAGCATTGTCAGAAACTTCTTTGTGATGATTGCATTCAACTCACGGAGTTGAAGGTTCCTTTTGATACAGCAGTTTGGAAACACTCTTTCGGTGGGAACTGCAAGCGGATATTTGGACCTCTTTGAAGATTTCGATGGAAAAGGGATAATCTTCCCATAAAAGCTAAACGGAAGCGTGCTCAGAGCCTTCTTGGTGATGTTTGCATTCAACTCACAGAGTTGTACTTTCCTTTCGACAGAGCAGCTTTGAAACCCTCTCTTTCTAGAATCTGCAAGTGGACATTTGGTGGGCTTCGAGGCCTGTGGTGGAAAAGGAACTATCTACTCATAAAAGCTAGATGGAAGCATTCTCAGAAACTACTTTGTGATGGTTGCTTTCAACTCACAGAGTTGAACATTCCCTTTGATAGAGCCGTTTGGAAACACACTGTTGGTAGAATCTGCAAGGGGAGATTTGGACCGCTTTGAGGCCTATGGCAGTAGAGGAAATCACTGCCCATAAAAACTAGACCGTAGCATTCTCAGGAAACACTTTGTGACGATTGAGTTCAACCCACAGAGCTGAACATTGCTTTGGATGGAGCAGTTTGGAAACACACTTTTTGTGGAATCTGCAAGTGGGTATTTGGACTTCTCTGAGGATTTCGTTGGAAACGGGATAAACCTCACATAACTAAACAGAAGCATTCTCAGAAACTTCTTCGTGATGTTGGCATTCAACTCCCAGAGTTGAACTTTCCCTTGTGAGTTCAGGGTGAAACACTCTTTTCGTAGTATCTGCAAGTGGAGATTTGGAACGCTTTGAGGCCTAAGGTAGTAAAGGATATAGCTTCGTGTGAAAACTGGACAGAAGCATTCTCAGAGAATACTTTGTGATGGTTTAGTTGAACTCACAGAGCTGAACATTCCTTTGGATGGAGCAGTTTTGAAACACACTTTTTGTAGAATCTGCAAGTGGATATTTGGAACTCCCTGAGGATTTCGTTGGAAACGGGATAACGTCACCTAACTGAACAGAAGCTTTCGCAGAAACTTCTTTGTGACGTTTGCATTCAAACTCCAGAGTTGAACCTTCCTTTGATAGTTCACGTTTGAAACACTCTTTTTGTAGGATCTGCAAGTGGATATTTGGAGCACTTTGTGGCCCTCGTTCGAAACGGGTATATCTTCACATAAAATCCAGACAGAAGCCTTCTCAGAAACTTCTCTGTGATGATTGCATTCAACTCACAGAGTTGAACATTCCTTTGGATAGAGCAGTTTCGAAACTCTCTTTTTTCTAGAACCTGCACATGGATAGGTGGAACTCTGTGAAGATATCTTTGCAAACGGGAATATCTTCACATAAAGAGTAAAGAGATGCCTTCTCAGAAACTTCTTTGTGAGGCATGTGTTCAACTCCCAGAGTTTAACCTTGCTTTTCATAGAGCACTTTTGAAACATTCTTTTCGTAGAGTCTCCAAGTGGACATTTGGAGCGCTTTCAGGCCTGTGGTGGAAAAGGAAATATTTTCAGCTAAAAACTAGAGAGAAGCATTGTCAGAAACTTCTTTGTGATGATTGCATTCAACTCACGGAGTTCAAGATTCCTTTTGATACAGAAGTTTGGAAACACTCTTTCAGTGGGATCTGCAAGCGGATATTTGGCCCTCTGTGAAGATTTCGATGGAAAAGGTATAATCTTACCATAAAAGCTAAACGGAAGCATGCTCAGAGACTTCTTTGTGATGTTTGCATTCAACTCACAGAGTTATACGTTCCTTTCTATAGAGCAGCTTTGAAACCCTCTCTTTCTAGAATCTGTAAGTGGACATTTGGAGGGCTTCGAGGCCTGTGGTGGAAAAGGAAATATCTACTCATAAAAGGTAAATGGAAGCGTTCTCAGAAACCACTTTGTGATGGTTGCTTTCAACTCACAGAGTTGAATATTCCCTTTGATAGAGCCGTTTGGAAACACACTCTTGGTAGAATCTGCAAGGGGAGATTTGGACCGCTTTGAGGCCTATGGCAATAGAGGAAATCACTGCCCATAAAAAGTAGACAGTAGCATTCTCAGGAAACACTTTGTGACGATTGAGTTCAACCCACAGAGCTGAACATTGCTTTGGATGGAGCAGTTTCGAAAAACACTTTTTTGGAATTTGCAAGTGGGTATTTGGACTTCTCTGAGGATTTCGTTGGAAACGGGATAAACCTCACATAACTAAACAGAAGCATTGTCAGGAACTTCTTCGTGATGTTGGCATTCAACTTAGAGAGTTGAACCGTCCCTTGTGAGTTCAGGTTGAAACACTCTTTTCGTAGTATCTGCAAGTGGAGATTTGGAACGCTTTGTGGCCTACGGTAGTAAAGGAAATAGCTTCGAGTAAAAACTGGACAGAAGCATTCTCAGAAAATACTTTGTGATGTTTGAGTGTAACTCACAGAGCTGAACATTCCTTTGGATGGAGCAGTTTTGAAACACACTTTTTGTAGCATCTGCAAGTGGATATTTGGACCTCTCTGAGGATTTCGTTGGAAACGGGATAAGGTCACCTAACTAAACAGAAGCTTTCGCAGAATCTTCTTTGGGACGTTTGCATTCAAAGTCCAGAGTTGAACCTTCCTTCGATAGCTCACGTTTGAAACACTCTTTTTGTAGGATCTGCAAGTGGATATTTGGAGCACTTTGTGGCCTTTGTTAGAAACGGGTATATTTTCACATAAAATCCAGACAGAAGCCTTCTCAGAAACCTCTCTGTGATGATTGCATTGAACTCAGAGAGTTGAACATTCCTTTGGACAGAGCAGTTTCGAAACTCTGTTTCTCTAGAATCTGCCCATGGATAGGTGGAACTCTGTGAAGATTTCTTTGCAAACGGGAATATCTTCACATAAAGAGTAAACAGATGCCTTCTCAGAAACTTCTTTGTGAGGCATGTGTTCAACTCCCAGAGTTTAACCTTGCTTTTCATAGAGCACTTTTGAAACATTCTTTTCGTAGAGTCTCCAAGTGGACATGTGGAGTGCTTTCAGGCCTGTGGTGGAAAAGGAAATATCTTCAGCTAAAAACTAGAAAGAAGCATTGTCAGAAACTTCTTCTTTGTGATGACTGCATTCAACTCACGGAGTGGAAGGCTCCTTTTGATACAGCAGCTTGGAAACACTCTTTCAGAGGGACCTGCAAGCGGATACTTGGACCTCTTTGAAGATTTCGATGGAAAAGGGATAATCTTCCCATAAAAGCTAAATGGAAGCATGCTCAGAGACTTCTTTGTGATGTTTCCATTCAACTCACAGAGTTATACATTCCTTTCGATAGAGCAGCTTTGAAACCCTCTCTTTCTAGAATCTGTAAGTGGACATTTGGAGGGCTTCGAGGCCTGTGGTGGAAAAGGAAATATCTACTCATAAAAGGTAGATGGAAGCATTCTCAGAAACTACTTTGTGATGGTTGCTTTCAACTCACAGAGTTGAACATTCCCTTTGATAGAGCCGTTTGGAAACACACTGTTGGTAGAATCTGCAAGGGGAGATTTGGACCGCATTGAGGCCTATGGCAGTAGAGGAAATCACTGCCCATAAAAACTAGACCGTAGCATTCTCAGGAAACACTTTGTGACGATTGAGTTCAACCCACAGAGCTGAACATTGCTTTGGATGGAGCAGTTTGGAAACACACTTTTTGTGGAATCTGCAAGTGGGTATTTGGACTTCTCTGAGGATTTCGTTGGAAACGGGATAAACCTCACATAACTAAACAGAAGCATTCTCAGAAACTTCTTCGTGATGTTGGCATTCAACTCACTGAGTTGAAACTTCTCTTGTTAGTTCAGGGTGAAACACTCTTTTCGTAGTATCTGCAAGTGGAGATTTGGAACGCTTTGAGGCCTAAGCTAGTAAAGGATATAGCTTCGTGTAAAAACTGGACAGAAGCATTCTCAGAAAATACTTTGTGATGATTTAGTTGAACTCACAGAGCTGAACATTCCTTTGGATGGAGCAGTTTTGAAACACACTTTTTGTAGAATCTGCAAGTGGATATTTGGAACTCCCTGAGGATTTCGTTGGAAACGGGATAACGTCACCTAACTGAACAGAAGCTTTCGCAAATCTTCTTTGTGACGTTTGCATTCAAAGTCCAGAGTTGAACCTTCCTTTGATAGTTCACGTTTGAAACACTCTTTTTGTAGGATCTGCAAGTGGATATTTGGAGCACTTTGTGGCCCTCGTTCGAAATTTTATATCTTCACATAAAATCCAGACAGAAGCCTTCTCAGAAACTTCTCTGTGATGATTGCATTCAACTCACAGAGTTGAACATTCCTTTGGATAGAGCAGTTTCGAAACTCTCTTTTTTCTAGAACCTGCACATGGATAGGTGGAAATCTGTGAAGATTTCTTTGCAAACGGGAATATCTTCACATAAAGAGTAAAGAGATACCTTCTCAGAAACTTCTTTGTGAGGCATGTGTTCAACTCCCAGAGTTTAACCTTGCTTTTCATAGAGCACTTTTGAAACATTCTTTTCGTAAAGTCTCCAAGTGGACATTTGGAGCGCTTTCAGGCCTGTGGTGGAAAAGGAAATATCTTCAGCTAAAAACTAGAGAGAAGCATTGTCAGAAACTTCTTTGTGATGATTGCATTCAACTCACGGAGTTGAAGGTTCCTTTTGATACAGCAGTTTGGAAACACTCTTTCAGTGTGATCTGCAAGCGGATATTTGGACCTCTTTGAAGATTTCGATGGAAAAGGGATAATCTTCCCATAAAAGCTAAACGGAAGCATGCTCAGAGACTTCTTTGTGATGTTTGCATTCAACTCACAGAGTTATACTTTCCTTTCGATAGAGCAGCTTTGAAACCCTCTCTTTCTAGAATCTGTAAGTGGACATTTGGAGGGCTTCGAGGCCTGTGGTGGAAAAGGAAATATCTACTCATAAAAGGTAGATGGAAGCATTCTCAGAAACTACTTTGTGATGGTTGCTTTCAACTCACAGAGTTGAACATTCCCTTTGATAGAGCCGTTTGGAAACACACTTTTGGTAGAATCTGCAAGGGGAGATTTGGACCGCTTTGAGGCCTATGGCAGTAGAGGAAATCACTGCCCATAAAAACTAGACCGTAGCATTCTCAGGAAACACTTTGTGACGATTGAGTTCAACCCACAGAGCTGAACATTGCTTTGGATGGAGCAGTTTGGAAACACACTTTTTGTGGAATCTGCAAGTGGGTATTTGGACTTCTCTGAGGATTTCGTTGGAAACGGGATAAACCTCACATAACTAAACAGAAGCATTCTCAGAAACTTCTTCGTGATGTTGGCATTCAACTCCCAGAGTTGAAACTTCCCTTGTGAGTTCAGGGTGAAACACTCTTTTTGTAGTATCTGCAAGTGGAGATTTGGAACGCTTTGAGGCCTAAGGTAGTAAAGGATATAGCTTCGTGTAAAAACTGGACAGAAGCATTCTCAGAAAACACTTTGTGATGATTTAGTTGAACTCACAGAGCTGAACATTCCTTTGGATGGAGCAGTTTTGAAACACACTTTTTGTAGAATCTGCAAGTGGATATTTGGAACTCCCTGAGGATTTCGTTGGAAACGGGATAACGTCACCTAACTGAACAGAAGCTTTCGCAGAAACTTCTTTGTGACGTCTGCATTCAAAGTCCAGAGTTGAACCTTCCTTTGATAGTTCACGTTTGAAACACTCTTTTTGTAGGATCTGCAAGTGGATATTTGGAGCACTTTGTGGCCCTCGTTCGAAACGGGTATATCTTCACATAAAATCCAGACAGAAGCCTTCTCAGAAACTTCTCTGTGATGATTGCATTCAACTCACAGAGTTGAACATTCCTTTGGATAGAGCAGTTTCGAAACTCTCTTTTTTCTAGAACCTACACATGGACAGTTGGAACTCTGTGAAGATTTCTTTGCAAACGGGAATATCTTCACATAAAGAGGAAAGAGATGCCTTCTCAGAAACTTCTTTGTGAGGCATGTGTTCAACTCCCAGACTTTAACCTTGCTTTTCATAGAGCAGTTTTGAAACATTCTTTTCGTAGAGTCTCCAAGTGGACGTTTGGAGCGCTTTCAGGCCTGTGGTGGAAAAGGAAATATCTTCACCTCAAAACTAGAGAGAAGCATTGTCAGAAACGTCTTTGTGATGATGGCATTCAACTCACGGAGTTGAAGGTTCCTTTTGATACAGCAGTTTGGAAACACTCTTTCAGTGGGACCTGCAAGCGGATATTTGGGCCTCTTTGGAGATTTCGATGGAAAAGGGATAATCTTCCCATAAAAGCTAAACGGAAGCATGCTCAGAGACTTCTTTGTGATGTTTGCATTCAACTCACAGAGTTATACATTCCTTTCGATAGAGCAGCTTTGAAACCCTCTCTTTCTAGAATCTGTAAGTGGACATTTGGAGGGCTTCGAGGCCTGTGGTGGAAAAGGAAATATCTACTCATAAAAGGTAGATGGAAGCATTCTCAGAAACTACTTTGTGATGGTTGCTTTCAACTCAAAGAGTTGAACATTCCGTTTGATAGAGCCGTTTGGAAACACACTGTTGGTAGAATCTGCAAGGGGAGATTTGGACCGCTTTGAGGCCTATGGCAGTAGAGGAAATCACTGCCCATAAAAACTAGACCGTAGCATTCTCAGGAAACACTTTGTGACGATTGAGTTCAACCCACAGAGCTGAACATTGCTTTGGATGGAGCAGTTTGGAAACACACTTTTTGTGGAATCTGCAAGTGGGTATTTGGACTTCTCTGAGGATTTCGTTGGAAACGGGATAAACCTCACATAACTAAACAGAAGCATTCTCAGAAACTTCTTCGTGATGTTGGCATTCAACTCCCAGAGTTGAAACTTCCCTTGTGAGTTCAGGGTGAAACACTCTTTTCGTAGTATCTGCAAGGGGAGATTTGGAACACTTTGAGGCCTAAGCTAGTAAAGGATATAGCTTCGTGTAAAAACTGGACAGAAGCATTCTCAGAAAATACTTTGTGATGATTTAGTTGAACTCACAGAGCTGAACATTCCTTTGGATGGAGCAGTTTTGAAACACACTTTTTGTAGAATCTGCAAGTGGATATTTGGAACTCCCTGAGGATTTCGTTGGAAACGGGATAACGTCACCTAACTGAACAGAAGCTTTCGCAGAAACTTCTTTGTGACGTTTGCATTCAAAGTCCAGAGTTGAACCTTCCTTTGATAGTTCACGTTTGAAACACTCTTTTTGTAGGATCTGCAAGTGGATATTTGGAGCACTTTGTGGCCCTCGTTCGAAACGGGTATATCTTCACATAAAATCCAGACAGAAGCCTTCTCAGAAACTTCTCTGTGATGATTGCATTCAACTCACAGAGTTGAACATTCCTTTGGATAGAGCAGTTTCGAAACTCTCTTTTTTCTAGAACCTGCACATGGATAGGTGGAACTCTGTGAAGATTTCTTTGCAAACGGGAATATCTTCACATAAAGAGTAAAGAGATGCCTTCTCAGAAACTTCTTTGTGAGGCATGTGTTCAACTCCCAGAGTTTAACATTGCTTTTCATAGAGCACTTTTGAAACATTCTTTTCGTAGAGTCTCCAAGTGGACATGTGGAGCGCTTTCAGGCCTGTGGTGGAAAAGGAAATATCTTCAGCTAAAAACTAGAGAGAAGCATTGTCAGAAACTTCTTTGTGATGATTGCATTCAACTCACGGAGTTGAAGGTTCCTTTTGATACAGCAGTTTGGAAACACTCTTTCAGTGGGATCTGCAAGCGGATATTTGGACCTCTTTGAAGATTTCGATGGAAAAGGGATAATCTTCCCATAAAAGCTAAACGGAAGCATGCTCAGAGACTTCTTTGTGATGTTTGCATTCAACACAGAGAGATATACTTTCCTTTCGATAGAACAGCTTTGAAACCCTCTCTTTCTAGAATCTGTAAGTGGACATTTGGAGGGCTTCGAGGCCTGTGGTGGAAAAGGAAATATCTACTCATAAAAGGTAGATGGAAGCATTCACAGAAACTACTTTGTGATGGTTGCTTTCAAGTCACAGAGTTGAACATTCCCTTTGATAGAGCCGTTTGGAAACACATTCTTGGTAGAATCTGCAAGCGGAGATTTGGACCACTTTGAGGCCTATGGCAGTACAGGAAATCGCTGCCCATAAAAACTAGACCGTAGCATTCTCAGGAAACACTTTGTGACGATTGAGTTCAACCCACAGAGCTGAACATTGCTTTGGATGGAGCAGTTTGGAAACACACTTTTTGTGGAATCTGCAAGTGGGTATTTGGACTTCTCTGAGGATTTCGTTGGAAACGGGATAAACCTCACATAACTAAACAGAAGCATTCTCAGAAACTTCTTCGTGATGTTGGCATTCAACTCACTGAGTTGAAACTTCTCTTGTTAGTTCAGGGTGAAACACTCTTTTCGTAGTATCTGCAAGTGGAGATTTGGAACGCTTTGAGGCCTAAGCTAGTAAAGGATATAGCTTCGTGTAAAAACTGGACAGAAGCATTCTCAGAAAATACTTTGTGATGATTTAGTTGAACTCACAGAGCTGAACATTCCTTTGGATGGAGCAGTTTTGAAACACACTTTTTGTAGAATCTGCAAGTGGATATTTGGAACTCCCTGAGGATTTCGTTGGAAACGGGATAACGTCACCTAACTGAACAGAAGCTTTCGCAAATCTTCTTTGTGACGTTTGCATTCAAAGTCCAGAGTTGAACCTTCCTTTGATAGTTCACGTTTGAAACACTCTTTTTGTAGGATCTGCAAGTGGATATTTGGAGCACTTTGTGGCCCTCGTTCGAAATTTTATATCTTCACATAAAATCCAGACAGAAGCCTTCTCAGAAACTTCTCTGGGATGATTGCTTTCAACTCACAGAGTTGAACATTCCTTTGGATAGAGCAGTTTCGAAACTCTCTTTTTTCTAGAACCTGCACATGGATAGGTGGAACTCTGTGAAGATTTCTTTGCAAACGGGAACATCTTCACATAAAGAGGAAAGAGATACCTTCTCAGAAACTTCTGTGTGAGGCATGTGTTCAACTCCCAGAGTTTAACCTTGCTTTTCATAGAGCACTTTTGAAACATTCTTTTCGTAGAGTCTCCAAGTGGACATTTGGAGCGCTTTCAGGCCTGTGGTGGAAAAGGAAATATCTTCAGCTAAAAACTAGAGAGAAGCATTGTCAGAAACTTCTTTGTGATGATTGCATTCAACTCACGGAGTTGAAGGTTCCTTTTGATACAGCAGTTTGGAAACACTCTTTCAGTGGGATCTGCAAGCGGATATTTGGACCTCTTTGAAGATTTCGATGGAAAAGGGATAATCTTCCCATAAAAGCTAAACGGAAGCATGCTCAGAGACTTCTTTGTGATTATGGCATTCAACTCACAGAGTTATACTTTCCTTTCGATAGAGCAGCTTTGAAACCCTCTCTTTCTAGAATCTGTAAGTGGACATTTGGAGGGCTTCGAGGCCTGTGGTGGAAAAGGAAATATCTACTCTTAAAAGGTAGATGGAAGCATTCACAGAAACTACTTTGTGATGGTTGCTTTCAAGTCACAGAGTTGAACATTCCCTTTGATAGAGCCGTTTGGAAACACATTCTTGGTAGAATCTGCAAGCGGAGATTTGGACCGCTTTGAGGCCTATAGCAGTAGAGGAAATCACTGCCCATAAAAAGTAGACAGTAGCATTCTCAGGAAACACTTTGTGACGATTGAGTTCAACCCACAGAGCTGAACATTGCTTTGGATGGAGCAGTTTGGAAACACACTTTTTGTGGAATCTGCAAGTGGGTATTTGGACTTCTCTGAGGATTTCGTTGGAAACGGGATAAACCTCACATAACTAAACAGAAGCATTCTCAGAAACTTCTTCGTGATGTTGGCATTCAACTCCCAGAGTTGAAACTTCCCTTGTGAGTTCAGGGTGAAACACTCTTTTCGTAGTATCTGCAAGTGGAGATTTGGAACGCTTTGAGGCCTAAGGTAGTAAAGGATATAGCTTCGTGTAAAAACTGGACAGAAGCATTCTCAGAAAATACTTTGTGATGATTTAGTTGAACTCACAGAGCTGAACATTCCTTTGGATGGAGCAGTTTTGAAACACACTTTTTGTAGAATCTGCAAGTGGATATTTGGAACTCCCTGAGGATTTCGTTGAAAACGGGATAACGTCACCTAACTGAACAGAAGCTTTCGCAGAAACTTCTTTGTGACGTTTGCATTCAAAGTCCAGAGTTGAACCTTCCTTTGATAGTTCACGTTTGAAACACTCTTTTTGTAGGATCTGCAAGTGGATATTTGGAGCACTTTGTGGCCCTCGTTCGAAACGGGTATATCTTCACATAAAATCCAGACAGAAGCCTTCTCAGAAACTTCTCTGTGATGATTGCATTCAACTCACAGAGTTGAACATTCCTTTGGATAGAGCAGTTTCGAAACTCTCTTTTTTCTAGAACCTGCACATGGATAGGTGGAACTCTGTGAAGATTTCTTTGCAAACGGGAATATCTTCACATAAAGAGGAAAGAGATTCCTTCTCAGAAACTTCTTTGTGAGGCATGTGTTCAACTCCCAGAGTTTAACCTTGCTTTTCATAGAGCACTTTTGAAACATTCTTTTCGTAGAGTCTCCGTGTGGACATTAGGAGCGCTTTCAGGCCTGTGGTGGAAAAGGAAATATCTTCAGCTAAAAACTAGAGAGAAGCATTGTCAGAAACTTCTTTGTGATGATTGCATTCAACTCACGGAGTTGAAGGTTCCTTTTGATACAGCAGTTTGGAAACACTCTTTCAGTGGGATCTGCAAGCGGATATTTGGACCTCTTTGAAGATTTCGATGGAAAAGGGATAATCTTCCCATAAAAGCTAAACGGAAGCATGCTCAGAGACTTCTTTGTGATGTTTGCATTCAACTCACAGAGTTATACTTTCCTTTCCATAGAGCAGCTTTGAAACCCTCTCTTTCTAGAATCTGTAAGTGGACATTTGGAGGGCTTCGAGGCCTGTGGTGGAAAAGGAAATATCTACTCATAAAAGGTAGATGGAAGCATTCTCAGGCAACTACTTTGTGATGGTTGCTTTCAACTCACAGAGTTGAACATTCCCTTTGATAGAGCCGTTTGGAAACACACTGTTGGTAGAATCTGCAAGGGGAGATTTGGACCGCATTGAGGCCTATGGCAGTAGAGGAAATCACTGCCCATAAAAACTAGACCGTAGCATTCTCAGGAAACACTTTGTGACGATTGAGTTCAACCCACAGAGCTGAACATTGCTTTGGATGGAGCAGTTTGGAAACACACTTTTTGTGGAATCTGCAAGTGGGTATTTGGACTTCTCTGAGGATTTCGTTGGAAACGGGATAAACCTCACATAACTAAACAGAAGCATTCTCAGAAACTTCTTCGTGATGTTGGCATTCAACTCCCAGAGTTGAAACTTCCCTTGTGAGTTCAGGGTGAAACACTCTTTTCGTAGTATCTGCAAGTGGAGATTTGGAACGCTTTGAGGCCTAAGGTAGTAAAGGATATAGCTTCGTGTAAAAACTGGACAGAAGCATTCTCAGAAAATACTTTGTGATGATTTAGTTGAAGTCACAGAGCTGAACATTCCTTTGGATGGAGCAGTTTTGAAACACACTTTTTGTAGAATCTGCAAGTGGATATTTGGAACTCCCTGAGGATTTCATTGGAAACGGGATAACGTCACCTAACTGAACAGAAGCTTTCGCAGAAACTTCTTTGTGACGTTTGCATTCAAAGTCCAGAGTTGAACCTTCCTTTGATAGTTCACGTTTGAAACACTCTTTTTGTAGGATCTGCAAGTGGATATTTGGAGCACTTTGTGGCCCTCGTTCGAAACGGGTATATCTTCACATAAAATCCAGACAGAAGCCTTCTCAGAAACTTCTCTGTGATGATTGCATTCAACTCACAGAGTTGAACATTCCTTTGGATAGAGCAGTTTCGAAACTCTCTTTTTTCTAGAACCTGCACATGGATAGGTGGAACTCTGTGAAGATTTCTTTGCAAACGGGAATATCTTCACATAAAGAGGAAAGAGATACCTTCTCAGAAACTTCTGTGTGAGGCATGTGTTCAACTCCCAGAGTTTAACCTTGCTTTTCATAGACCACTTTTGAAACATTCTTTTCGTAGAGTCTCCAAGTGGACATTTGGAGCGCTTTCAGGCCTGTGGTGGAAAAGGAAATATCTTCAGCTAAAAACTAGAGAGAAGCATTGTCAGAAACTTCTTTGTGATGATTGCATTCAACTCACGGAGTTGAAGGTTCCTTTTGATACAGCAGTTTGGAAACACTCTTTCAGTGGGATCTGCAAGCGGATATTTGGACCTCTTTGAAGATTTCGATGGAAAAGGGATAATCTTCCCATAAAAGCTAAACGGAAGCATGCTCAGAGACTTCTTTGTGATGTTTGCATTCAACTCACAGAGTTATACTTTCCTTTCGATAGAGCAGCTTTGAAACCCTCTCTTTCTAGAATCTGTAAGTGGACATTTGGAGGGCTTCGAGGCCTGTGGTGGAAAAGGAAATATCTACTCATAAAAGGTAGATGGAAGCATTCTCAGAAACTACTTTGTGATGGTTGCTTTCAACTCAAAGAGTTGAACATTCCGTTTGATAGAGCCGTTTGGAAACACACTGTCGGTAGAATCTGCAAGGGGAGATTTGGACCGCTTTGAGGCCTATGGCAGTAGAGGAAATCACTGCCCATAAAAACTAGACCGTAGCATTCTCAGGAAACACTTTGTGACGATTGAGTTCAACCCACAGAGCTGAACATTGCTTTGGATGGAGCAGTTTGGAAACACACTTTTTGTGGAATCTGCAAGTGGGTATTTGGACTTCTCTGAGGATTTCGTTGGAAACGGGATAAACCTCACATAACTAAACAGAAGCATTCTCAGAAACTTCTTCGTGATGTTGGCATTCAACTCCCAGAGTTGAACCTTCCCTTGTGAGTTCAGGGTGAAACACTCTTTTCGTAGTATCTGCAAGTGGAGATTTGGAACGCTTTGAGGCCTAAGGTAGTAAAGGATATAGCTTCGTGTGAAAACTGGACAGAAGCATTCTCAGAAAATACTTTGTGATGATTTAGTTGAACTCACAGAGCTGCACATTCCTTTGGATGGAGCAGTTTTGAAACACACTTTTTGTAGAATCTGCAAGTGGATATTTGGAACTCCCTGAGGATTTCGTTGGAAACGGGATAACGACACCTAACTGAACAGAAGCTTTCGCAGAAACTTCTTTGTGACGTTTGCATTCAAAGTCCAGAGTTGAAACTTCCTTTGATACTTCACGTTTGAAACACTCTTTTTGTAGGATCTGCAAGTGGATATTTGGAGCACTTTGTGGCCCTCGTTCGAAACGGGTATATCTTCACATAAAATCCAGACAGAAGCCTTCTCAGAAACTTCTCTGTGATGATTGCATTCAACTCACAGAGTTGAACATTCCTTTGGATAGAGCAGTTTCGAAACTCTCTTTTTTCTAGAACCTGCACATGGATAGGTGGAACTCTGTGAAGATTTCTTTGCAAACGGGAATATCTTCACATAAAGAGTAAAGAGATGCCTTCTCAGAAACTTCTTTGTGAGGCATGTGTTCAACTCCCAGAGTTTAACATTGCTTTTCATAGAGCACTTTTGAAACATTCTTTTCGTAGAGTCTCCAAGTGGACATGTGGAGCGCTTTCAGGCCTGTGGTGGAAAAGGAAATATCTTCAGCTAAAAACTAGAGAGACGCATTGTCAGAAACTTCTCCTTTGTGATGACTGCATTCAACTCACGGAGTGGAAGGCTCCTTTTGATACAGCAGCTTGGAAACACTCTTTCAGAGGGACCTGCAAGCGGATACTTGGACCTCTTTGAAGATTTCGATGGAAAAGGGATAATCTTCCCATAAAAGCTAAATGGAAGCATGCTCAGAGACTTCTTTCTGATGTTTGCATTCAAATCCCAGAGTTGTACTTTCCTTTTGATAGAGCAGCTTTGAAACCCTCTCTTTCTAGAATCTGAAAGTGGACATTTGGAGGGTTTCGAGGCCTGTGGTGGAAAAGGAAATATCTCCTCATAAAAGCTAGATGGAAGCATTCTCAGAAACTAATTTGTGATGGTTGCTTTCAACTCAAAGAGTTGAACATTCCGTTTGATAGAGCCGTTTGGAAACACACTTTTGGTAGAATCTGCAAGGGGAGATTTGGACCGCTTTGAGGCCTATGGCAGTAGAGGAAATCACTGCCCATAAAAACTAGACCGTAGCATTCTCAGGAAACACTTTGTGACGATTGAGTTCAACCCACAGAGCTGAACATTGCTTTGGATGGAGCAGTTTGGAAACACACTTTTGTGGAATCTGCAAGTGGGTATTTGGACTTCTCTGAGGATTTCGTTGGAAACGGGATAAACCTCACATAACTAAACAGAAGCATTCTCAGAAACTTCTTCGTGATGTTGGCATTCACCTCCCAGAGTTGAACCTTCCCTTGTGAGTTCAGGGTGAAACACTCTTTTCGTAGTATCTGCAAGTGGAGATTTGGAACGCTTTGAGGCGTAAGGTAGTAAAGGATATAGCTTCGTGTGAAAACTGAACAGAAGCATTTTCAGAGAATACTTTGTGATGGTTTAGTTGAACTCACAGAGCTGAACATTCCTTTGGATGGAGCAGTTTTGAAACACACTTTTTGTAGAATCTGCAAGTGGATATTTGGAACTCCCTGAGGATTTCGTTGGAAACGGGATAACGTCACCTAACTGAACAGAAGCTTTCGCAAATCTTCTTTGTGACGTTTGCATTCAAAGTCCAGAGTTGAACCTTCCTTTGATAGTTGACGTTTGAAACACTCTTTTTGTAGGATCTGCAAGTGGATATTTGGAGCACTTTGTGGCCCTCGTTCGAAACGGGTATATCTTCACATAAAATCCAGACAGAAGCCTTCTCAGAAACTTCTCTGTGATGATTGCATTCAACTCACAGAGTTGAACATTCCTTTGGATAGAGCAGTTTCGAAACTCTCTTTTTTCTAGAACCTGCACATGGATAGGTGGAACTCTGTGAAGATTTCTTTGCAAACGGGAATATCTTCACATAAAGAGGAAAGAGATGCCTTCTCAGAAACTTCTTTGTGAGGCATGTGTTCAACTCCCAGAGTTTAACCTTGCTTTTCATAGAGCACTTTTGAAACATTCTTTTCTTAGAGTCTCCAAGTGGACATTTGGAGCGCTTTCAGGCCTGTGGTGGAAAAGGAAATATCTTCAGCTAAAAACTAGAGAGAAGCATTGTCAGAAACTTCTTTGTGATGATTGCATTCAACTCACGGAGTTGAAGGTTCCTTTTGATACAGCAGTTTGGAAACACTCTTTCAGTGGGATCTGCAAGCGGATATTTGGACCTCTTTGAAGATTTCGATGGAAAAGGGATAATCTTCCCATAAAAGCTAAACGGAAGCATGCTCAGAGACTTCTTTGTGATGTTTGCATTCAACTCACAGAGTTATACGTTCCTTTCTATAGAGCAGCTTTGAAACCCTCTCTTTCTAGAATCTGTAAGTGGACATTTGGAGGGCTTCGAGGCCTGTGGTGGAAAAGGAAATATCTACTCATAAAAGGTAAATGGAAGCATTCACAGAAACTACTTTGTGATGGTTGCTTTCAAGTCACAGAGTTGAACATTCCCTTTGATAGAGCCGTTTGGAAACACATTCTTGGTAGAATCTGCAAGCGGAGATTTGGACCGCTTTGAGGCCTATAGCAGTAGAGGAAATCACTGCCCATAAAAAGTAGACAGTAGCATTCTCAGGAAACACTTTGTGACGATTGAGTTCAACCCACAGAGCTGAACATTGCTTTGGATGGAGCAGTTTGGAAACACACTTTTTGTGGAATCTGCAAGTGGGTATTTGGACTTCTCTGAGGATTTCGTTGGAAACGGGATAAACCTCACATAACTAAACAGAAGCATTCTCAGAAACTTCTTCGTGATGTTGGCATTCAACTCCCAGATTTGAAACTTCCCTTGTGAGTTCAGGGTGAAACACTCTTTTCGTAGTATCTGCAAGTGGAGATTTGGAACGCTTTGAGGCCTAAGGTAGTAAAGGATATAGCTTCGTGTAAAAACTGGACAGAAGCATTCTCAGAGAATACTTTGTGATGATTTAGTTGAACTCACCGAGCTGAACATTCCTTTGGATGGAGCAGTTTTGAAACACACTTTTTGTAGAATCTGCAAGTGGATATTTGGAACTCCCTGAGGATTTCGTTGGAAACGGGATAACGTCACCTAACTGAACAGAAGCTTTCGCAGAAACTTCTTTCTGACGTTTGCATTCAAAGTCCAGAGTTGAAACTTCCTTTGATAGTTCACGTTTGAAACACTCTTTTTGTAGGATCTGCAAGTGGATATTTGGAGCAATTTGTGGCCCTCGTTCGAAACGGGTATATCTTCACATAAAATCCAGACAGAAGCCTTCTCAGGAACCTCTCTGTGATGATTGCATTCAACTCAGAGAGTTGAACATTCCTTTGGATAGAGCAGTTTCGAAACTCTGTTTCTCTAGAATCTGCCCATGGATAGGTGGAACTCTGTGAAGATTTCTTTGCAAACGGGAATATCTTCACATAAAGAGTAAACAGATGCCTTCTCAGAAACTTCTTTGTGAGGCATGTGTTCAACTCCCAGAGTTTAACATTGCTTTTCATAGAGCACTTTTGAAACATTCTTTTCGTAGAGTCTCCAAGTGGACATGTGGAGCGCTTTCAGGCCTGTGGTGGAAAAGGAAATATCTTCAGCTAAAAACTAGAGAGAAGCATTGTCAGAAACTTCTTTGTGATGATTGCATTCAACTCACGGAGTTGAAGGTTCCTTTTGATACAGCAGTTTGGAAACACTCTTTCAGTGGGATCTGCAAGCGGATATTTGGACCTCTTTGAAGATTTCGATGGAAAAGGGATAATCTTCCCATAAAAGCTAAACGGAAGCATGCTCAGAGACTTCTTTGTGATGTTTGCATTCAACTCACAGAGTTATACTTTCCTTTCGATAGAGCAGCTTTGAAACCCTCTCTTTCTAGAATCTGTAAGTGGACATTTGGAGGGCTTCGAGGCCTGTGGTGGAAAAGGAAATATCTACTCATAAAAGGTAGATGGAAGCATTCTCAGAAACTACTATGTAATGGTTGCTTTCAACTCACAGAGTTGAACATTCCCTTTGATAGAGCCGTTTGGAAACACACTTTTGGTAGAATCTGCAAGGGGAGATTTGGACCGCTTTGAGGCCTATGGCAGTAGAGGAAATCACTGCCCATAAAAAATAGACCGTAGCATTCTCAGGAAACACTTTGTGACGATTGAGTTCAACCCACAGAGCTGAACATTGCTTTGGATGGAGCAGTTTGGAAACACACTTTTTGTGGAATCTGCAAGTGGGTATTTGGACTTCTCTGAGGATTTCGTTGGAAACGGGATAAACCTCACATAACTAAACAGAAGCATTCTCAGAAACTTCTTCGTGATGTTGGCATTCAACTCACAGAGTTGAACCTTCCCTTGTGAGTTCAGGGTGAAACACTCTTTTCGTAGTATCTGCAAGTGGAGATTTGGAACGCTTTGAGGCCTAAGCTAGTAAAGGATATAGCTTCGTGTAAAAACTGGACAGAAGCATTCTCAGAGAATACTTTGTGATGATTTAGTTGAACTCACAGAGCTGAACATTCCTTTGGATGGAGCAGTTTTGAAACACACTTCTTGTAGAATCTGCAAGTGGATATTTGGAACTCCCTGAGGATTTCGTTGGAAACGGGATATCGTCACCTAACTGAACAGAAGCTTTCGCAGAAACTTCTTTGTGACGTTTGCATTCAAAGTCCAGAGTTGAACCTTCCTTTGATAGTTCACGTTTGAAACACTCTTTTTGTAGGATCTGCAAGTGGATATTTGGAGCACTTTGTGGCCCTCGTTCGAAACGGGTATATCTTCACATAAAATCCAGACAGAAGCCTTCTCAGAAACTTCTCTGGGATGATTGCTTTCAACTCACAGAGTTGAACATTCCTTTGGATAGAGCAGTTTCGAAACTCTCTTTTTTCTAGAACCTGCACATGGATAGGTGGAACTCTGTGAAGATTTCTTTGCAAACGGGAACATCTTCACATAAAGAGGAAAGAGATACCTTCTCAGAAACTTCTGTGTGAGGCATGTGTTCAACTCCCAGAGTTTAACCTTGCTTTTCATAGAGCACTTTTGAAACATTCTTTTCGTAGAGTCTCCAAGTGGACATTTGGAGCGCTTTCAGGCCTGTGGTGGAAAAGGAAATATCTTCAGCTAAAAACTAGAGAGAAGCATTGTCAGAAACGTCTTTATGATTATGGCATTCAACTCACGGAGCTGAAGGTTCCTTTTGATACAGCAGTTTGGAAACACTCTTTGAGTGGGATCTGCAAGCGGATATTTGGACCTCTTTGGAGATTTCGATGGAAAAGGGATAATCTTCCCATAAAAGCTAAACGGAAGCATGCTCAGAGACTTCTTTGTGATGTTTGCATTCAACTCCCAGAGTTGTACTTTCCTTTTGATAGAGCAGCTTTGAAACCCTCTCTTTCTAGAATCTGCAAGTGGACATTTGGAGGGCTTCGAGGCCTGTGGTGGAAAAGGAAATATCTACTCATAAAAGCTAGATGGAAGCATTCTCAGAAACTACTTTGTGATGGTTGCTTTCAACTCACAGAGTTGAACATTCCCTTTGATAGAGCCGTTTGGAAACACACTGTTGGTAGAATCTGCAAGGGGAGATTTGGACCGCTTTGAGGCCTATGGCAGTAGAGGAAATCACTGCCCATAAAAACTAGACCATAGCATTCTCAGGAAACACTTTGTGACGATTGAGTTCAACCCACAGAGCTGAACATTGCTTTGGATGGAGCAGTTTGGAAACACACTTTTTGTGGAATCTGCAAGTGGGTATTTGGACTTCTCTGAGGATTTCATTGGAAACGGGATAAACCTCACATAACTAAACAGAAGCATTCTCAGAAACTTCTTCGTGATGTTGGCATTCAACTCCCAGAGTTGAAACTTCCCTTGTGAGTTCAGGGTGAAACACTCTTTTCGTAGTATCTGCAAGTGGAGATTTGGAACGCTTTGAGGCCTAAGGTAGTAAAGGATATAGCTTCGTGTAAAAACTGGACAGAAGCATTCTCAGAAAATACTTTGTGATGATTTAGTTGAACTCACAGAGCTGAACATTCCTTTGGATGGAGCAGTTTTGAAACACACTTTTTGTAGAATCTGCAAGTGGATATTTGGAACTCCCTGAGCATTTCGTTGGAAACGGGATAACGTCACCTAACTGAACAGAAGCTTTCGCAGAAACTTCTTTGTGACGTTTGCATTCAAAGTCCAGAGTTGAACCTTCCTTTGATAGTTGACGTTTGAAACACTCTTTTTGTAGGATCTGCAAGTGGATATTTGGAGCACTTTGTGGCCCTCGTTCGAAACGGGTATATCTTCACATAAAATCCAGACAGAAGCCTTCTCAGAAACTTCTCTGTGATGATTGCATTCAACTCACAGAGTTGAACATTCCTTTGGATAGAGCAGTTTCGAAACTCTCTTTTTTCTAGAACCTACACATGGATAGGTGGAACTCTGTGAAGATTTCTTTGCAAACGGGAATATCTTCACATAAAGAGTAAAGAGATGCCTTCTCAGAAACTTCTTTGTGAGGCATGTGTTCAACTCCCAGAGTTTAACCTTGCTTTTCATAGAGCAGTTTTGAAACATTCTTTTCGTAGAGTCTCCAAGTGGACATTTGGAGCGCTTTCAGGCCTGTGGAGGAAAAGGAAATATCTTCAGCTAAAAAATAGAGAGACGCATTGTCAGAAACTTCTCCTTTGTGATGACTGCATTCAACTCACGGAGTGGAAGGCTCCTTTTGATACAGCAGCTTGGAAACACTCTTTCAGAGGGACCTGCAAGCGGATACTTGGACCTCTTTGAAGATTTCGATGGAAAAGGGATAATCTTCCCATAAAAGCTAAATGGAAGCATGCTCAGAGACTTCTTTGTGATGTTTACATTCAACTCCCAGAGTTGTACTTTCCTTTTGATAGAGCAGCTTTGAAACCCTCTCTTTCTAGAATCTGCAAGTGGACATTTGGAGGGCTTCGAGGCCTGTGGTGGAAAAGGAAATATCTACTCATAAAAGCTAAATGGAAGCATTCTCCGAAACTACATTTTGATGATTCCTTTCAAGTCACAGAGTTGAACATTCCCTTTGGTAGAGCCGTTTGGAAACGCACTTTTGGTAGAATCTGCAAGGGGAGATTTGGACCGCTTTGAAGCCTATGGCAGTAGAGGAAATCACTGCCCATGAAATTTAGACAGTAGCATTCTCAGGAAACACTTTGTGACGATTGAGTTCAACTCACAGAGCTGAACATTCCTTTGGATGGAGCAGTTTCGAAACACACTTTTTGTAGGATCTGCAAGTGGATATTTGGACTTCTCTGAGGATTTCGTTGGAAACGGGATAAACCTCACCTAACTAAACAGAAGCATTGTCAGGAACTTCTACGTGATGTTGGCATTCAACTCAGAGAGTTGAACCGTCCCTTGTGAGATCAGGATGAAACTCTCTTTTCGTAGTATCTGCAAGTGGAGATTTGGAACGCTTTGTGGCCTACGGTAGTAAAGGAAATAGCTTCGAGTAAAAACTGGACAGAAGCATTCTCAGAAAATAGTTTGAGATGATTGAGTGTAACTCACAGAGCTGAACATTCCTTTGGATGGAGCAGTTTTGAAACACACTTTTTGTAGCATCTGCAAGTGGATATTTGGACCTCTCTGAGGATTTCGTTGGAAACGGGATAACGTCACCTAACTAAACAGAAGCTTTCGCAGAAACTTCTTTGTGACGTTTGCATTCAAAGTCCAGAGTTGAAACTTCCTTTGATACTTCACGTTTGAAACACTCTTTTTGTAGGATCTGCAAGTGGATATTTGGAGCACTTTGTGGCCCTCGTTCGAAACGGGTATATCTTCACATAAAATCCAGACAGAAGCCTTCTCAGAAACTTCTCTGTGATGATTGCATTCAACTCACAGAGTTGAACATTCCTTTGGATAGAGCAGTTTTGAAACTCTCTTTTTTCTAGAACCTGCACATGGATAGGTGGAACTCTGTGAAGATTTCTTTGCAAACGGGAATATCTTCACATAAAGAGTAAAGAGATGCCTTCTCAGAAACTTCTTTGTGAGGCATGTGTTCAACTCCCAGAGTTTAACCTTGCTTTCAATAGAGCAGTTTTGAAACATTCTTTTCGTAGAGTCTCCGTGTGGACATTTGGAGCGCTTTCAGACCTGTGGTGGAAAAGGAAATATCTTCAGCTAAAAACTAGAGAGAAGCATTGTCAGAAACTTCTTTGTGATGATTGCATTCAACTCACAGAGTTGTAGGTTCCTTTTGATACAGCAGTATGGAAACACTCTTTCGGTGGGAACTGCAAGCGGATATTTGGACCTCTTTGAAGATTTCGATGGAAAAGGGATAATCTTCCCATAAAAGCTAAACGGAAGCATGCTCAGAGACTTCTTTGTGATGTTTGCATTCAACTCACAGAGTTATACTTTCCTTTCGATAGAGCAGCTTTGAAACCCTCTCTTTCTAGAATCTGTAAGTGGACATTTGGAGGGCTTCAAGGCCTGCGGTGGAAAAGGAAATATCTACTCATAAAAGGTAGATGGAAGCATTCTCAGAAACTACTTTGTGATGGTTGCTTTCAACTCACAGAGTTGAACATTCCCTTTGATAGAGCCGTTTGGAAACACACTGTTGGTAGAATCTGCAAGGGGAGATTTGGACCGCTTTGAGGCCTATGGCAGTAGAGGAAATCACTGCCCATAAAAACTAGACCGTAGCATTCTCAGGAAACACTTTGTGACGATTGAGTTCAACCCACAGAGCTGAACATTGCTTTGGATGGAGCAGTTTGGGAACACACTTTTTGTGGAATCTGCAAGTGGGTATTTGGACTTCTCTGAGGATTTCGTTGGAAACGGGATAAACCTCACATAACTAAACAGAAGCATTCTCAGAAACTTCTTCGTGATGTTGGCATTCAACTCCCAGAGTTGAAACTTCCCTTGTGAGTTCAGGGTGAAACACTCTTTTCGTAGTATCTGCAAGTGGAGATTTGGAACGCTTTGAGGCCTAAGGTAGTAAAGGATATAGCTTCGTGTAAAAACTGGACAGAAGCATTCTCAGAAAAAAATTTGTGATGATTTAGTTGAACTCACAGAGCTGAACATTCCTTTGGATGGAGCAGTTTTGAAACACACTTTTTGTAGAATCTGCAAGTGGATATTTGGAACTCCCTGAGGATTTCGTTGGAAACGGGATAACGTCACCTAACTGAACAGAAGCTTTCGCAGAAACTTCTTTGTGACGTTTGCGTTCAAAGTCCAGAGTTGAACCTTCCTTTGATAGTTCACGTTTGAAACACTCTTTTTGTAGGATCTGCAAGTGGATATTTGGAGCACTTTGTGGCCCTCATTCGAAACGGGTATATCTTCACATAAAATCCAGACAGAAGCCTTCTCAGAAACTTCTCTGTGATGATTGCATTCAACTCACAGAGTTGAACATTCCTTTGGATAGAGCAGTTTCGAAACTCTCTTTTTTCTAGAACCTGCACATGGATAGGTGGAACTCTGTGAAGATTTCTTTGCAAACGGGAATATCTTCACATAAAGAGGAAAGAGATGCCTTCTCAGAAACTTCTTTGTGAGGCATGTGTTCAACTCCCAGAGTTTAACCTTGCTTTTCATAGAACAGTTTTGAAACATTCTTTTCGTAGAGTCTCCAAGTGGACATTTGTTGCGCTTTCAGGCCTGTGGTGGAAAAGGAAATATATTCACATAAAAACTAGAGAGAAGCATTGTCAGAAACTTCTTTGTGATGATTGCATTCAACTCACGGAGTTGAAGGTTCCTTTTGATACAGCAGTTTGGAAACACTCTTTCAGTGGGATCTGCAAGCGGATATTTGGACCTCTTTGAAGATTTCGATGGAAAAGGGATAATCTTCCCATAAAAGCTAAACGGAAGCATGCTCAGAGACTTCTTTGTGATGTTTGCATTCAACTCACAGAGTTATACTTTCCTTTCGATAGAGCAGCTTTGAAACCCTCTCTTTCTAGAATCTGTAAGTGGACATTTGGAGGGCTTCGAGGCCTGTGGTGGAAAAGGAAATATCTACTCATAAAAGGTAGATGGAAGCGTTCTCAGAAACCACTTTGTGATGGTTGCTTTCAACTCACAGAGTTGAATATTCCCTTTGATAGAGCCGTTTGGAAACACACTCTTGGTAGAATCTGCAAGGGGAGATTTGGACCGCTTTGAGGCCTATGGCAATAGAGGAAATCACTGCCCATAAAAAGTAGACAGTAGCATTCTCAGGAAACACTTTGTGACGATTGAGTTCAACCCACAGAGCTGAACATTGCTTTGGATGGAGCAGTTTCGAAAAACACTTTTTTGGAATTTGCAAGTGGGTATTTGGACTTCTCTGAGGATTTCGTTGGAAACGGGATAAACCTCACATAACTAAACAGAAGCATTCTCAGAAACTTCTTCGTGATGTTGGCATTCAACTCCCAGAGTTGAAACTTCCCTTGTGAGTTCAGGGTGAAACACTCTTTTTGTAGTATCTGCAAGTGGAGATTTGGAACGCTTTGAGGCCTAAGGTAGTAAAGGATATAGCTTCGTGTAAAAACTGGACAGAAGCATTCCCAGAGAATACTTTGTGATGGTTTAGTTGAACTCACAGAGCTGAACATTCCTTTGGATGGAGCAGTTTTGAAACACACTTTTTGTAGAATCTGCAAGTGGATATTTAGAACTCCCTGAGGATTTCGTTGGAAACGGGATAACGTCACCTAACTGAACAGAAGCTTTCGCAGAAACTTCTTTGTGACGTTTGCATTCAAAGTCCAGAGTTGAACCTTCCTTTGATAGTTCACGTTTGAAACACTCTTTTTGTAGGATCTGCAAGTGGATATTTGGAGCACTTTGTGGCCCTCGTTCGAAACGGGTATATCTTCACATAAAATCCAGACAGAAGCCTTCTCAGAAACTTCTCTGTGATGATTGCATTCAACTCACAGAGTTGAACATTCCTTTGGAGAGAGCAGTTTCGAAACTCTCTTTTTTCTAGAACCTGCACATGGATAGGTGGAACTCTGTGAAGATTTCTTTGCAAACTGGAATATCTTCACATAAAGAGTAAAGAGATGCCTTCTCAGAAACTTCTTTGTGAGGCATGTGTTCAACTCCCAGAGTTTAACCTTGCTTTTCATAGAGCACTTTTGAAACATTCTTTTCGTAGAGTCTCCAAGTGGACATTTGGAGCGCTTTCAGGCCTGTGGTGGAAAAGGAAATATCTTCAGCTAAAAACTAGAGAGAAGCATTGTCAGAAACTTCTTTGTGATGATTGCATTCAACTCACGGAGTTGAAGGTTCCTTTTGATACAGCAGTTTGGAAACACTCTTTCAGTGGGATCTGCAAGCGGATATTTGGACCTCTTTGAAGATTTCGATGGAAAAGGGATAATCTTCCCATAAAAGCTAAACGGAAGCATGCTCAGAGACTTCTTTCTGATGTTTGCATTCAACTCCCAGAGTTGTACTTTCCTTTTGATAGAGCAGCTTTGAAACCCTCTCTTTCTAGAATCTGCAAGTGGACATTTGGAGGGCTTCGAGGCCTGTGGTGGAAAAGGAAATATCTCCTCATAAAAGCTAGATGGAAGCATTCTCCGAAACTACATTTTGATGATTCCTTTCAAGTCACAGAGTTGAACATTCCCTTTGGTAGAGCCGTTTGGAAACACACTTTTGGTAGAATCTGCAAGGGGAGATTTGGACCGCTTTGAAGCCTAAGGCAGTAGAGGAAATCACTGCCCGTGAAACCTAGACAGTAGCATTCTCAGGAAACACTTTGTGACGATTGAGTTCAACCCACAGAGCTGAACATTGCTTTGGATGGAGCAGTTTGGAAACACACTTTTTGTGGAATCTGCAAGTGGATATTTGGACTTCTCTGAGGATTTCATTGGAAACGGGATAAACCTCACATAACTAAACAGAAGAATTCTCAGAAACTTATTCGTGATGTTGGCATTCAACTCACAGAGTTGAACCTTCCCTTGTTAGTTCAGGTTGAAACACTCTTTTCGTAGTATCTGCAAGTGGAGATTTGGAACGCTTTGAGGCCTACGATAGTAAAGGAAATAGCTTCGTGATAAAACTGGACAGAAGCATTCTCAGAAAATACTTTGTGATGATTTAGTTGAACTCACAGAGCTGAACATTCCTTTGGATGGAGCAGTTTTGAAACACACTTTTTGTAGAATCTGCAAGTGGATATTTGGAACTCCCTGAGGATTTCGTTGGAAACGGGATATCGTCACCTAACTGAACAGAAGCTTTCGCAGAAACTTCTTTGTGACGTTTGCATTCAAAGTCCAGAGTTGAAACTTCCTTTGATACTTCACGCTTGAAACACTCTTTTTGTAGGATCTGCAAGTGGATATTTGGAGCACTTTGTGGCCCTCGTTCGAAACGGGTATATCTTCACATAAAATCCAGACAGAAGCCTTCTCAGAAACTTCTCTGTGATGATTGCATTCAACTCACAGAGTTGAACATTCCTTTGGATAGAGCAGTTTCGAAACTCTCTTTTTTCTAGAACCTGCACATGGATAGGTGGAACTCTGTGAAGATTTCTTTGCAAAAGGGAATATCTTCACATAAAGAGTAAAGAGATGCCTTCTCAGAAACTTCTTTGTGAGGCATGTGTTCAACTCCCAGAGTTTAACCTTGCTTTTCATAGAACAGTTTTGAAACATTCTTTTCGTAGAGTCTCCAAGTGGACATTTGGAGCGCTTTCAGGCCTGTGGTGGAAAAGGAAATATCTTCACATAAAAACTAGAGAGAAGCATTGTCAGAAACTTCTTCTTTGTGATGACTGCATTCATCTCACGGAGTGGAAGGCTCCTTTTGATACAGCCGCTTGGAAACACTCTATCAGAGGGACCTGCAAGCGGATACTTGGAGCTCTTGGAAGATTTCGATGGAAAAGGGATAATCTTCCCATAAAAGCTAAATGGAAGCGTGCTCAGATCCTTCTTGGTGATGTTTGCATTCAACTCACAGAGTTGTACTTTCCTTTCGATAGAGCAGCTTTGAAACCCTCTCTTTCTAGAATCTGCAAGTGGACATTTAGAGGGCTTCGAGGCCTGTGTTGGAAAAGGAAATATCTACTCATAAAAGCTAGATGGAAGCATTCTCAGAAACTACTTTGTGATGATTGTTTTCAGGTCACAGAGTTGAACATTCCCTTTGATAGAGCTGTTTGGAAACACACTTTTGGCAGAATCGGCAAGGGGAGATTTGGACCGATTTGAGGCCTATGGCAGTAGAGGAAATCACTGCCCATAAAAACTAGACAGCAGCATTCTCAGGAAACACTTTGTGACGATTGAGTTCAACCCACAGAGCTGAACATTGCTTTGGATGGAGCAGTTTGGAAACACACTTTTTGTGGAATCTGCAAGTGGGTATTTGGACTTCTCTGAGGATTTCGTTGGAAACGGGATAAACCTCACATAACTAAACAGAAGCATTCTCAGAAACTTCTTCGTGATGTTGGCATTCAACTCCCAGAGTTGAAACTTCCCTTGTGAGTTCAGGGTGAAACACTCTTTTCGTAGTATCTGCAAGGGGAGATTTGGAACACTTTGAGGCCTAAGCTAGTAAAGGATATAGCTTCGTGTAAAAACTGGACAGAAGCATTCTCAGAAAAAAATTTGTGATGATTTAGTTGAACTCACAGAGCTGAACATTCCTTTGGATGGAGCAGTTTTGAAACACACTTTTTGTAGAATCTGCAAGTGGATATTTGGAACTCCCTGAGGATTTCGTTGGAAACGGGATAACGTCACCTAACTGAACAGAAGCTTTCGCAGAAACTTCTTTGTGACGTTTGCGTTCAAAGTCCAGAGTTGAACCTTCCTTTGATAGTTCACGTTTGAAACACTCTTTTTGTAGGATCTGCAAGTGGATATTTGGAGCACTTTGTGGCCCTCATTCGAAACGGGTATATCTTCACATAAAATCCAGACAGAAGCCTTCTCAGAAACTTCTCTGTGATGATTGCATTCAACTCACAGAGTTGAACATTCCTTTGGATAGAGCAGTTTCGAAACTCTCTTTTTTCTAGAACCTGCACATGGATAGGTGGAACTCTGTGAAGATTTCTTTGCAAACGGGAATATCTTCACATAAAGAGTAAAGAGATGCCTTCTCAGAAACTTCTTTGTGAGGCATGTGTTCAACTCCCAGAGTTTAACCTTGCTTTTCATAGAACAGTTTTGAAACATTCTTTTCGTAGAGTCTCCAAGTGGACATTTGTTGCGCTTTCAGGCCTGTGGTGGAAAAGGAAATATCTTCACATAAAAACTAGAGAGAAGCATTGTCAGAGACTTCTTCTTTGTGATGACTGCATTCAACTCACGGAGTGGAAGGCTCCTTTTGATACAGCAGCTTGGAAACACTCTTTCAGAGGGACCTGCAAGCGGATACTTGGACCTCTTTGAAGATTTCGATGGAAAAGGGATAATCTTCCCATAAAAGCTAAATGGAAGCATGCTCAGAGACTACTTTGTGATGTTTGCATTCAACTCCCAGAGTTGTACTTTCCTTTTGATAGAGCAGCTTTGAAACCCTCTCTTTCTAGAATCTGCAAGTGCACATTTGGAGGGTTTCGAGGCCTGTGGTGGAAAATCAACTATCTCCTCATAAAAGCTAGATGGAAGCATTCTCCGAAACTACATTTTGATGATTCCTTTCAAGTCACAGAGCTGAACATTCCCTTTGGTAGAGTCGTTTGGAAACACACTTTTGGTAGAATCTGCAAGGGGAGATTTGGACCGCTTTGAAGCCTAAGGCAGTAGAGGAAATCACTGCCCATGAAACCTAGACAGTAGCATTCTCAGGAAACACTTTGTGACGATTGAGTTCAACCCACAGAGCTGAACATTGCTTTGGATGGAGCAGTTTGGAAACACACTTTTTGTGGAATCTGCAAGTGGGTATTTGGACTTCTCTGAGGATTTCGTTGGAAACGGGATAAACCTCACATAACTAAACAGAAGCATTCTCAGAAACTTCTCGGTGATGTTGGCATTCAACTCCCAGAGTTGAAACTTCCCTTGTGAGTTCAGGGTGAAACACTCTTTTCGTAGTATCTGCAAGTGGAGATTTGGAACGCTTTGAGGCCTAAGGTAGTAAAGGATATAGCTTCGTGTAAAAACTGGACAGAAGCATTCTTAGAAAATTCTTTCTGATGATTGAATTTAACTCACAGAGCACAACATGCCTTTGGATGGAGCAGTTTTGAAACACACTTTTTGTAGAATCTGCAAGTGGATATTTGGACCTCTCTGAGGATTTCGTTGGAAACGGGATAACGTCACCTAACTAAACAGAAGCTTTCGCAGAAACTTCTTTGTGACGTTTGCATTCAAAGTCCAGAGTTGAACCTTCCTTTGATAGTTCACGTTTGAATCACTCTTTTTGTAGGATCTGCAAGTGGATATTTGGAGCACTTTGTGTCCCTCGTTCGAAACGGGTATATCTTCACATAAAATCCAGACAGAAGCCTTCTCAGAAACTTCTCTGTGATGATTGCATTCAACTCACAGAGTTGAACATTACTTTGGATAGAGCAGTTTCGAAACTCTCTTTTTTCTAGAACCTGCACATGGATAGGTGGAACTCTGTGAAGATTTCTTTGCAAACGGGAATATCTTCACATAAAGAGAAAAGAGATGCCTTCTCAGAAACTTCTTTGTGAGGCATGTGTTCAACTCCCAGAGTTTAACCTTGCTTTTCATAGAGCAGTTTTGAAACATTCTTTTCGTAGAGTCTCCAAGTGGACATTTGGAGCGCTTTCAGGCCTGTGGTGGAAAAGGAAATATCTTCAGCTAAAAACTAGAGAGAAGCATTGTCAGAAACTTCTTTGTCATGATTGCATTCAACTCACAGAGTTGTAGGTTCCTTTTGATACAGCAGTTTGGAAACACTCTTTCGGTGGGAACTGCAAGCGGATATTTGGACCTCTTTGAAGATTTCGATGGAAAAGGGATAATCTTCCCATAAAAGCTAAACGGAAGCATGCTCAGAGACTTCTTTGTGATGTTTGCATTCAACTCACAGAGTTATACTTTCCTTTCGATAGAGCAGCTTTGAAACCCTCTCTTTCTAGAATCTGTAAGTGGACATTTGGAGGGCTTCGAGGCCTGTGGTGGAAAAGGAAATATCTACTCATAAAAGGTAGATGGAAGCATTCTCAGGAACTACTTTGTGATGGTTGCTTTCAACTCACAGAGTTGAACATTCCCTTTGATAGAGCCGTTTGGAAACACACTGTTGGTAGAATCTGCAAGGGGAGATTTGGACCGCATTGAGGCCTATGGCAGTAGAGGAAATCACTGCCCATAAAAACTAGACCGTAGCATTCTCAGGAAACACTTTGTGACGATTGAGTTCAACCCACAGAGCTGAACATTGCTTTGGATGGAGCAGTTTGGAAACACACTTTTTGTGGAATCTGCAAGTGGGTATTTGGACTTCTCTGAGGATTTCGTTGGAAACGGGATAAACCTCACATAACTAAACAGAAGCATTCTCAGAAACTTCTTCGTGATGTTGGCATTCAACTCCCAGAGTTGAAACTTCCCTTGTGAGTTCAGGGTGAAACACTCTTTTCGTAGTATCTGCAAGTGGAGATTTGGAACGCTTTGAGGCCTAAGGTAGTAAAGGATATAGCTTCGTGTGAAAACTGGACAGAAGCATTCTCAGAAAATACTTTGTGATGATTTAGTTGAAGTCACAGAGCTGAACATTCCTTTGGATGGAGCAGTTTTGAAACACACTTTTTGTAGAATCTGCAAGTGGATATTTGGAACTCCCTGAGGATTTCGTTGGAAACGGGATAACGTCACCTAACTGAACAGAAGCTTTCGCAGAAACTTCTTTGTGACGTTTGCATTCAAAGTCCAGAGTTGAACCTTCCTTTGATAGTTCACGTTTGAAACACTCTTTTTGTAGGATCTGCAAGTGGATATTTGGAGCACTTTGTGGCCCTCGTTCGAAACGGGTATATCTTCACATAAAATCCAGACAGAAGCCTTCTCAGAAACTTCTCTGTGATGATTGCATTCAACTCACAGAGTTGAACATTCCTTTGGATAGAGCAGTTTCGAAGCTCTCTTTTTTCTAGAACCTGCACATGGATAGGTGGAACTCTGTGAAGATTTCTTTGCAAACGGGAATATCTTCACATAAAGAGTAAAGAGATGCCTTCTCAGAAACTTCTTTGTGAGGCATTTGTTCAACTCCCAGAGTTTAACCATGTTTTACATAGAACAGTTTTGAAACATTCTTATCGTAGAGTCTCCAAGTGGACATTTCTTGCGCTTTCAGGCCTGTGGTGGAAAAGGAAATATCTTCACATAAAAACTAGAGAGAAGCATTATCAGAGACTCCTTCTTTGTGAAGACTGCATTCAACTCACGGAGTGGAAGGCTCCTTTTGATACAGCAGCTTGGAAACACTCTTTCAGAGGGACCTGCAAGCGGATACTTGGACCTCTTTGAAGATTTCGATGGAAAAGGGATAATCTTCCCATAAAAGCTAAATGGAAGCATGCTCAGAGACTTCTTTGTGATGTTTGCATTCAACTCACAGAGTTATACTTTCCTTTCGATAGAGCAGCTTTGAAACCCTCTCTTTCTAGAATCTGTAAGTGGACATTTGGAGGGCTTCAAGGCCTGTGGTGGAAAAGGAAATATCTACTCATAAAAGGTAGATGGAAGCATTCTCAGAAACTACTTTGTGATGGTTGCTTTCAACTCACAGAGTTGAACATTCCCTTTGATAGAGCCGTTTGGAAACACACTGTTGGTAGAATCTGCAAGGGGAGATTTGGACCGCTTTGAGGCCTATGGCAGTAGAGGAAATCACTGCCCATAAAAACTAGACCGTAGCATTCTCAGGAAACACTTTGTGACGATTGAGTTCAACCCACAGAGCTGAACATTGCTTTGGATGGAGCAGTTTGGAAACACACTTTTTGTGGAATCTGCAAGTGGGTATATGGACTTCTCTGAGGATTTCATTGGAAACGGGATAAACCTCACATAACTAAACGGAAGCATTGTCAGGAACTTCTTCGTGATGTTGGCATTCAACTCACAGAGTTGAACCGTCCCTTGTGAGTTCAGGTTGAAACACTCTTTTCGTAGTATCTGCAAGTGGAGATTTGGAACGCTTTGTGGCCTACGGTAGTAAAGGAAATAGCTTCGAGTAAAAACTGGACAGAAGCATTCTCAGAAAATACTTTGTGATGATTTAGTTGAACTCACAGAGCTGAACATTCCTTTGGATGGAGCAGTTTTGAAACACACTTTTTGTAAAATCTGCAAGTGGATATTTGGAACTCCCTGAGGATTTCGTTGGAAACGGGATAACGTCACCTAACTGAACAGAAGCTTTCGCAGAAACTTCTTTGTGACGTTTGCATTCAAAGTCCAGAGTTGAACCTTCCTTTGTTAGTTCACGTTTGAAACACTCTTTTTGTAGGATCTGCAAGTGGATATTTGGAGCACTTTGTGGCCCTTGTTCGAAACGGGTATATCTTCACATAAAATCCAGACAGAAGCCTTCTCAGAAACTTCTCTGTGATGATTGCATTCAACTCACAGAGTTGAACATTCCTTTGGATAGAGCAGTTTCGAAATTCTCTTTTTTCTAGAACCTGCTTATGGATAGGTGGAACTCTGTGAAGATTTATTTGCAAACGGGAATATCTTCACATAAAGAGTAAAGAGATGCCTTCTCAGAAACTTCTTTGTGAGGCATGTGTTCAACTCCCAGAGTTTAACCTTGCTTTTCATAGAACAGTTTTGAAACATTCTTTTCGTAGAGTCTCCAAGTGGACATTTGGAGCGCTTTCAGGCCTGTGGTGGAAAAGGAAATATCTTCACATAAAAACTAGAGAGAAAGCATTGTCAGAAACTTCTTTGTGATGATTGCATTCAACTCACGGAGTTGAAGGTTCCTTTTGATACAGCAGTTTGGAAACACTCTTTCAGTGGGATCTGCAAGCGGATATTTGGACCTCTTTGAAGATTTCGATGGAAAAGGGATAATCTTCCCATAAAAGCTAAACGGAAGCATGCTCAGAGACTTCTTTGTGATGTTTGCATTCAACTCACAGAGTTATACTTTCCTTTCGATAGAGCAGCTTTGAAACCCTCTCTTTCTAGAATCTGTAAGTGGACATTTGGAGGGCTTCGAGGCCTGTGGTGGAAAAGGAAATATCTACTCATAAAAGGTAGATGGAAGCATTCTCCGAAACGGCTTTGTGATGGTTGCTTTCAACTCACAGAGTTGAACATTCCCTTTGATAGAGCCGTTTGGAAACACACTGTTGGTAGAATCTGCAAGGGGAGATTTCGACCGCTTTGAGGCCTATGGCAGTAGAGGAAATCACTGCCCATAAAAACTAGACCGTAGCATTCTCAGGAAACACTTTGTGACGATTGAGTTCAACTCACAGAGCTGAACATTCCTTTGGATGGAGCAGTTTCGAAACACACTTTTTGTAGGATCTGCAAGTGGATATTTGGACTTCTCTGAGGATTTCGTTGGAAACGGGATAAACCTCACCTAACTAAACAGAAGCCTTGTCAGGAACTGCTTCGTGATGTTGGCATTCAACTCACAGAGTTGAACCGTCCCTTGTGAGTTCAGGTTGAAACACTCTTTTCGTAGTATCTGCAAGTGGAGATTTGGAACGCTTTGTGGCCTACGGTAGTAAAGGAAATAGCTTCGAGTAAAAACTGGACAGAAGCATTCTCAGAAAATACTTTGTGATGATTGAGTTTAACTCACAGAGCTGAACATGCCTTTGGGTGGAGCAGTTTGGAAACACACTTTTTGCAGAATCTGCAGGTGGATATTTGGACCTCTCTGAGGATTTCGTTGGAAACGGGATAACGTCACCTAACTAAACAGAAGCTTTCGCAGAAACTTCTTTGTGACGTTTGCATTCAAAGTCCAGAGTTGAACCTTCCTTTGATAGTTCACGTTTGAAACACTCTTTTTGTAGGATCTGCAAGTGGATATTTGGAGCACTTTGTGGCCCTCGTTCGAAACGGGTATATCTTCACATAAAATCCAGACAGAAGCCTTCTCAGAAACTTCTCTGTGATGATTGCATTCAACTCACAGAGTTGAACATTCCTTTGGATAGAGCAGTTTCGAAACTCTCTTTTTTCTAGAACCTGCACATGGATAGGTGGAACTCTGTGAAGATTTCTTTGCAAACGGGAATATCTTCACATAAAGAGTAAAGAGATGCCTTCTCAGAAACTTCTTTGTGAGGCATGTGTTCAACTCCCAGAGTTTAACCTTGCTTTTCATAGAGCACTTTTGAAACATTCTTTTCGTAGAGTCTCCAAGTGGACATTTGGAGCGCTTTCAGGCCTGTGGTGGAAAAGGAAATATCTTCAGCTAAAAACTAGAGAGAAGCATTGTCAGAAACTTCTTTGTGATGATTGCATTCAACTCACGGAGTTGAAGGTTCCTTTTGATACAGCAGTTTGGAAACACTCTTTCGGTGGGAACTGCAAGCGGATATTTGGACCTCTTTGAAGATTTCGATGGGAAAGGGATAATCTTCCCATAAAAGCTAAACGGAAGCATGCTCAGAGACTTCTTTGTGATGTTTGCATTCAACTCACAGAGTTATACTTTCCTTTCGATAGAGCAGCTTTGAAACCCTCTCTTTCTAGAATCTGTAAGTGGACATTTGGAGGGCTTCGAGGCCTGTGGTGGAAAAGGAAATATCTACTCATAAAAGGTAGATGGAAGCATTCTCAGAAACTACTTTGTTATGGTTGCTTTCAACTCACAGAGTTGAACATTCCGTTTGATAGAGCCGTTTGGAAACACACTTTTGGTAGAATCTGCAAGGGGAGATTTGGACCGCTTTGAGGCCTATGGCAGTAGAGGAAATCACTGCCCATAAAAACTAGACCGTAGCATTCTCAGGAAACACTTTGTGACGATTGAGTTCAACCCACAGAGCTGAACATTGCTTTGGATGGAGCAGTTTGGAAACACACTTTTTGTGGAATCTGCAAGTGGGTATTTGGACTTCTCTGAGGATTTCGTTGGAAACGGGATAAACCTCACATAACTAAACAGAAGCATTCTCAGAAACTTCTTCGTGATGTTGGCATTCAACTCCCAGAGTTGAAACTTCCCTTGTGAGTTCAGGGTGAAACACTCTTTTCGTAGTATCTGCAAGTGGAGATTTGGAACGCTTTGAGGCCTAAGGTAGTAAAGGATATAGCTTCGTGTAAAAACTGGACAGAATCATTCTCAGAAAATACTTTGTGATGATTTAGTTGAACTCACAGAGCTGAACATTCCTTTGGATGGAGCAGTTTTGAAACACACTTTTTGTAGAATCTGCAAGTGGATATTTGGAACTCCCTGAGGATTTCGTTGGAAACGGGATAACGTCACCTAACTGAACAGAAGCTTTCGCAGAAACTTCTTTGTGACGTTTGCATTCAAAGTCCAGAGTTGAACCTTCCTTTGATAGTTCACGTTTGAAACACTCTTTTTGTAGGATCTGCAAGTGGATATTTGGAGCACTTTGTGGCCCTCGTTCGAAACGGGTATATCTTCACATAAAATCCAGACAGAAGCCTTCTCAGAAACTTCTCTGTGATGATTGCATTCAACTCACAGAGTTGAACATTCCTTTGGATAGAGCAGTTTCGAAACTCTCTTTTTTCTAGAACCTGCACATGGATAGGTGGAACTCTGTGAAGATTTCTTTGCAAACGGGAATATCTTCACATAAAGAGGAAAGAGATGCCTTCTCAGAAACTTCTTTGTGAGGCATGTGTTCAACTCCCAGAGTTTAACCTTGCTTTTCATAGAGCACTTTTGAAACATTCTTTTCGTAGAGTCTCCGTGTGGACATTTGGAACGCTTTCAGGCCTGTGGTGGAAAAGGAAATATCTTCAGCTAAAAACTAGAGAGAAGCATTGTCAGAAACTTCTTTGTGATGATTGCATTCAACTCACGGAGTTGAAGGTTCCTTTTGATACAGCAGTTTGGAAACACTCTTTCAGTGGGATCTGCAAGCGGATATTTGGACCTCTTTGAAGATTTCGATGGAAAAGGGATAATCTTCCCATAAAAGCTAAACGGAAGCATGCTCAGAGACTTCTTTGTGATGTTTCCATTCAACTCACAGAGTTATACATTCCTTTCGATAGAGCAGCTTTGAAACCCTCTCTTTCTAGAATCTGTAAGTGGACATTTGGAGGGCTTCGAGGCCTGTGGTGGAAAAGGAAATATCTACTCATAAAAGGTAGATGGAAGCATTCTCAGGAACTACTTTGTGATGGTTGCTTTCAACTCACAGAGTTGAACATTCCCTTTGATAGAGCCGTTTGGAAACACACTGTTGGTAGAATCTGCAAGGGGAGATTTGGACCGCATTGAGGCCTATGGCAGTAGAGGAAATCACTGCCCATAAAAACTAGACCGTAGCATTCTCAGGAAACACTTTGTGACGATTGAGTTCAACCCACAGAGCTGAACATTGCTTTGGATGGAGCAGTTTGGAAACACACTTTTTGTGGAATCTGCAAGTGGGTATTTGGACTTCTCTGAGGATTTCATTGGAAACGGGATAAACCTCACATAACTAAACGGAAGCATTCTCAGAAACTTCTTCGTGATGTTGGCATTCAACTCCCAGATTTGAAACTTCCCTTGTGAGTTCAGGGTGAAACACTCTTTTCGTAGTATCTGCAAGTGGAGATTTGGAACGCTTTGAGGCCTAAGGTAGTAAAGGATATAGCTTCGTGTGAAAACTGGACAGAAGCATTCTCAGAAAATACTTTGTGATGATTTAGTTGAACTCACAGAGTCGAACATTCCTTTGGATGGAGCAGTTATGAAACACACTTTTTGTAGAATCTGCAAGTGGATATTTGGAACTCCCTGAGGATTTCGTTGGAAACGGGATAACGTCACCTAACTGAACAGAAGCTTTCGCAGAAACTTCTTTGTGACGTTTGCATTCAAAGTCCAGAGTTGAACCTTCCTTTGATAGTTCACGTTTGAATCACTCTTTTTGTAGGATCTGCAAGTGGATATTTGGAGCACTTTGTGTCCCTCGTTCGAAACGGGTATATCTTCACATAAAATCCAGACAGAAGCCTTCTCAGAAACTTCTCTGTGATGATTGCATTCAACTCACAGAGTTGAACTTTCCTTTGGATAGAGCAGTTTCGAAACTTTCTTTTTTCTAGAACCTGCACATGGACAGGTGGAACTCTGTGAAGATTTCTTTGCAAACGGGAATATCTTCACATAAAGAGGAAAGAGATGCCTTCTCAGAAACTTCTTTGTGAGGCATGTGTTCAACTCCCAGAGTTTAACCTTGCTTTTCATAGAGCACTTTTGAAACATTCTTTTCTTAGAGTCTCCAAGTGGACATTTGGAGCGCTTTCAGGCCTGTGGTGGAAAAGGAAATATCTTCAGCTAAAAACTAGAGAGAAGCATTGTCAGAAACTTCTTTGTGATGATTGCATTCAACTCACGGAGTTGAAGGTTCCTTTTGATACAGCAGTTTGGAAACACTCTTTCAGTGGGATCTGCAAGCGGATATTTGGACCTCTTTGAAGATTTCGATGGAAAAGGGATAATCTTCCCATAAAAGCTAAACGGAAGCATGCTCAGAGACTTCTTTGTGATGTTTGCATTCAACTCACAGAGTTATACGTTCCTTTCTATAGAGCAGCTTTGAAACCCTCTCTTTCTAGAATCTGTAAGTGGACATTTGGAGGGCTTCGAGGCCTGTGGTGGAAAAGGAAATATCTACTCATAAAAGGTAAATGGAAGCGTTTTCAGAAACCACTTTGTGATGGTTGCTTTCAACTCACAGAGTTGAACATTCCCTTTGATAGAGCCGTTTGGAAACACACTGTTGGTAGAATCTGCAAGGGGAGATTTGGACCGCTTTGAGGCCTATGGCAGTAGAGGAAATCACTGCCCATAAAAACTAGACCATAGCATTCTCAGGAAACACTTTGTGACGATTGAGTTCAACCCACAGGAGCTGAACATTGCTTTGGATGGAGCAGTTTGGAAACACACTTTTTGTGGAATCTGCAAGTGGGTATATGGACTTCTCTGAGGATTTCATTGGAAACGGGATAAACCTCACATAACTAAACGGAAGCATTGTCAGGAACTTCTTCATGATGTTGGCATTCAACTCACAGAGTTGCACCGTCCCTTGTGAGTTCAGGTTGAAACACTCTTTTCGTAGTATCTGCAAGTGGAGATTTGGAACGCTTTGTGGCCTACGGTAGTAAAGGAAATAGCTTTGAGTAAAAACTGGACAGAAGCATTCTCAGAAAATACTTTGTGATGATTGAGTGTAACTCACAGAGCTGAACATTCCTTTGAATGGAGCAGTTTTGAAACACACTTTTTGTAGCATCTGCAAGTGGATATTTGGACCTCTCCGAGGATTTCGTTGGAAACGGGATAACGTCACCTAACTAAACAGAAGCTTTCGCAGAAACTTCTTTGTGACGTTTGCATTCAAAGTCCAGAGTTGAACCTTCCTTTGATAGTTGACGTTTGAAACACTCTTTTTGTAGGATCTGCAAGTGGATATTTGGAGCACTTTGTGGCCCTCGTTCGAAACGGGTATATCTTCATATAAAATCCAGACAGAAGCCTTCTCAGAAACTTCTCTGTGATGATTGCATTCAACTCACAGAGTTGAACATTCCTTTGGATAGAGCAGTTTCGAAACTCTCTTTTTTCTAGAACCTGCACATGGATAGGTGGAACTCTGTGAAGATTTCTTTGCAAACGGGAATATCTTCACATAAAGAGGAAAGAGATACCTTCTCAGAAACTTCTTTGTGAGGCATGTGTTCAACTCCCAGAGTTTAACCTTGCTTTTCATAGAGCACTTTTGAAACATTCTTTTCGTAAAGTCTCCAAGTGGACATTTGGAGCGCTTTCAGGCCTGTGGTGGAAAAGGAAATATCTTCAGCTAAAAACTAGAGAGAAGCATTGTCAGAAACTTCGTTGTGATGATTGCATTCAACTCGCGGAGTTGAAGGTTCCTTTTGATACAGCAGTTTGGAAACACTCTTTCAGTGGGATCTGCAAGCAGATATTTGGACCTCTTTGAAGATTTCGATGGAAAAGGGATAATCTTCCCATAAAAGCTAAACGGAAGCATGCTCACAGACTTCTTTGTGATGTTTGCATTCAACTCACAGAGTTATACTTTCCTTTCGATAGAGCAGCTTTGAAACCCTCTCTTTCTAGAATCTGTAACTGGACATTTGGAGGGCTTCGAAGCCTGTGGTGGAAAAGGAAATATCTACTCATAAAAGGTAGATGGAAGCATTCTCAGAAACTAATTTGTGATGGTTGCTTTCAACACAAAGAGTTGAACATTCCGTTTGATAGAGCCGTTTGGAAACACACTTTTGGTAGAATCTGCAAGGGGAGATTTGGACCGCTTTGAGGCCTATGGCAGTAGAGGAAATCACTGCCCATAAAAACTAGACCGTAGCATTCTCAGGAAACACTTTGTGACGATTGAGTTCAACCCACAGAGCTGAACATTGCTTTGGATGGAGCAGTTTGGAAACACACTTTTTGTGGAATCTGCAAGTGGGTATTTGGACTTCTCTGAGGATTTCATTGGAAACGGGATAAACCTCACATAACTAAACAGAAGCATTCTCAGAAACTTCTTCGTGATGTTGGCATTCCACTCCCAGAGTTGAACCTTCCCTTGTGAGTTCAGGGTGAAACACTCTTTTCGTAGTATCTGCAAGTGGAGATTTGGAACGCTTTGAGGCATAAGGTAGTAAAGGATATAGCTTCGTGTGGAAACTGGACAGAAGCATTTTCAGAGAATACTTTGTGATGGTTTAGTTGAACTCACAGAGCTGAACATTCCTTTGGATGGAGCAGTTTTGAAACACACTTTTTGTAGAATCTGCAAGTGGATATTTGGAACTCCCTGAGGATTTCGTTGGAAACGGGATAACGTCACCTAACTGAACAGAAGCTTTCGCAGAAACTTCTTTGGGACGTTTGCATTCAAAGTCCAGAGTTGAACCTTCCTTCGATAGCTCACATTTGAAACACCCTTTTTGTAGGATCTGTAAGTGGATATTTGGAGCAATTTGTGGCCTTCGTTCGAAAAGGGTATATCTTCACATAAAATCCAGACAGAAGCCTTCTCAGAAACTTCTCTGTGATGATTGCATTCAACTCACAGAGTTGAACATTCCTTTGGATAGAGCAGTTTCGAAACTCTCTTTTTTCTAGAACCTGCACATGGATAGGTGGAACTCTGGGGAGATTTCTTTGCAAACGGGAATATCTTCACATAAAGAGTAAAGAGATGCCTTCTCAGAAACTTCTTTGTGAGGCATGGGTTCAACTCCCAGAGTTTAACCTTGCTTTTCATAGAACAGTTTTGAAACATTCTTTTCGTAGAGTCTCCAAGTGGACATTTGTTGCGCTTTCAGGCCTGTGGTGGAAAAGGAAATATCTTCACATAAAAACTAGAGAGAAGCATTGTCAGAAACTTCTTTGTGATGATTGCATTCAACTCACGAAGTTGAAGGTTCCTTTTGATACAGCAGTTTGGAAACACTCTTTCAGTGGGATCTGCAAGCGGATATTTGGACTTCTTTGAAGATTTCGATGGAAAAGGGATAATCTTCCCATAAAAGCTAAACGGAAGCATGCTCAGAGACTTCTTTGTGATGTTTGCATTCAACTCACAGAGTTATACTTTCATTTCCATAGAGCAGCTTTAAACCCTCTCTTTCTAGAATCTGTAAGTGGACATTTGGAGGGCTTCGAGGCCTGTGGTGGAAAAGGAAATATCTACTCATAAAAGGTAGATGGAAGCATTCTCAGAAACTACTTTGTGATGGTTGCTTTCAACTCACAGAGTTGAACATTCCCTTTGATAGAGCCGTTTGGAAACACACTTTTGGTAGATTCTACAAGGGGAGATTTGGACCGCTTTGAGGCCTATGGCAGTAGAGGAAATCACTGCCCATAAAAACTAGACCGTAGCATTCTCAGGAAACACTTTGTGACGATTGAGTTCAACTCACAGTGTTAAACATTCCTTTGGATGGAGGAGTTTCGAAACACACTTTTTGTAGGATCTGCAAGTGGATATTTGGACTTCTCTGAGGATTTCGTTGGAAACGGGATAAACCTCACCTAACTAAACAGAAGAATTCTCAGAAACTTATTCGTGATGTTGGCATTCAACTCACAGAGTTGAACCTTCCCTTGTTAGTTCAGGTTGAAACACTCTTTTCGTAGTATCTGCAAGTGGAGATTTGGAACGCTTTGAGGCCTACGATAGTAAAGGAAATAGCTTCGTGATAAAACTGGACAGAAGCATTCTCAGAAAATACTTTGTGATGATTTAGTTGAACTCACAGAGCTGAACATTCCTTTGGATGGAGCAGTTTTGAAACACACTTTTTGTAGAATCTGCAAGTGGATATTTGGAACTCCCTGAGGATTTCGTTGGAAACGGGATAACGTCACCTAACTGAACAGAATCTTTCACAGAAACTTCTTTGGGACGTTTGCATTCAAAGTCCAGAGTTGAACCTTCCTTCGATAGATCACGTTTGAAACACTCTTTTTGTAGGATCTGCAGGTGGATATTTGGAGCACTTTGTGGCCTTCGTTCGAAACGGGTATATCTTCACATAAAATCCAGACAGAAGCCTTCTCAGAAACTTCTCTGTGATGATTGCTTTCAACTCACAGAGTTGAACATTCCTTTGGATAGAGCAGTTTCGAAACTCTCTTTTTTCTAGAACCTGCACATGGATAGGTGGAACTCTGTGAAGATTTCTTTGCAAACGGGAACATCTTCACATAAAGAGTAAAGAGATGCCTTCTCAGAAACTTCTTTGTGAGGCATGTGTTCAACTCCCAGAGTTTAACCTTGCTTTTCATAGAGCACTTTTGAAACATTCTTTTCGTAGAGTCTCCGTGTGGACATTTGGAACGCTTTCAGGCCTGTGGTGGAAAAGGAAATATCTTCAGCTAAAAACTAGAGAGAAGCATTGTCAGAAACTTCGTTGTGATGATTGCATTCAACTCGCGGAGTTGAAGGTTCCTTTTGATACAGCAGTTTGGAAACACTCTTTCAGTGGGATCTGCAAGCGGATATTTGGACCTCTTTGAAGATTTCGATGGAAAAGGGATAATCTTCCCATAAAAGCTAAACGGAAGCATGCTCAGAGACTTCTTTGTGATGTTTGCATTCAACTCACAGAGTTATACATTCCTTTCGATAGAGCAGCTTTGAAACCCTCTCTTTCTAGAATCTGTAAGTGGACATTTGGAGGGCTTCGAGGCCTGTGGTGGAAAAGGAAATATCTACTCATAAAAGGTAGATGGAAGCATTCTCCGAAACTACATTTTGATGATTCCTTTCAAGTCACAGAGTTGAACATTCCCTTTGGTAGAGCCGTTTGGAAACGCACTTTTGGTAGAATCTGCAAGGGGAGATTTGGACCGCTTTGAAGCCTATGGCAGTAGAGGAAATCACTGCCCATGAAATTTAGACAGTAAGCATTCTCAGGAAACACTTTGTGACGATTGAGTTCAACCCACAGAGCTGAACATTGCTTTGGATGGAGCAGTTTGGAAACACACTTTTTGTGGAATCTGCAAGTGGGTATTTGGACTTCTCTGAGGATTTCGTTGGAAACGGGATAAACCTCACATAACTAAACAGAAGCATTCTCAGAAACTTCTTCGTGATGTTGGCATTCACCTCCCAGAGTTGAACCTTCCCTTGTGAGTTCAGGGTGAAACACTCTTTTCGTAGTATCTGCAAGTGGAGATTTGGAACGCTTTGAGGCGTAAGGTAGTAAAGGATATAGCTTCGTGTGAAAACTGGACAGAAGCATTCTTAGAAAATACTTTGTGATGTTTGAGTGTACCTCACAGAGCTGAACATTCCTTTGGATGGAGCAGTTTTGAAACACACTTTTTGTAGCATCTGCAAGTGGATATTTGGACCTCTCTGAGGATTTCGTTGGAAACGGGATAACGTCACCTAACTAAACAGAAGCTTTCGCAGAAACTTCTTTGGGACGTTTGCATTCAAAGTCCAGAGTTGAACCTTCCTTCGATAGCTCACGTTTGAAACACTCTTTTTGTACGATCTGCAGGTGGATATTTGGAGCACTTTGTGGCCTTCTTTCGAAACGGGTATATCTTCACATAAAATCCAGACAGAAGCCTTCTCAGAAACTTCTCTGTGATGATTGCATTCAACTCACAGAGTTGAACATTCCTTTGGATAGAGCAGTTTCGAAACTCTCTTTTTTCTAGAACCTGCACATGGATAGGTGGAACTCTGTGAAGATTTCTTTGCAAACGGGAATATCTTCACATAAAGAGTAAAGAGATGCCTTCTCAGAAACTTCTTTGTGAGGCATGTGTTCAACTCCCAGAGTTTAACACTGCTTTTCATAGAGCAGTTTTGAAACATTCTTTTCGTAGAGTCTCCAAGTGGACATTTGGAGCGCTTTCAGGCCTGTGGTGGAAAAGGAAATATCTTCAGCTAAAAACTAGAGAGAAGCATTGTCAGAAACTTCTCCTTTGTGATGACTGCATTCAACTCACGGAGTGGAAGGCTCCTTTTGATACAGCAGCTTGGAAACACTCTTTCAGAGGGACCTGCAAGCGGATACTTGGACCTCTTTGAAGATTTCGATGGAAAAGGGATAATCTTCCCATAAAAGCTAAATGGAAGCATGCTCAGAGACTTCTTTGTGATGTTTGCATTCAACTCACAGAGTTGTACTTTCCTTTCGATAGAGCAGCTTTGAAAACCTCTCTTTCTAGAATCTGCAAGTCGACATTTGGAGGGCTTCGAGGCCTGTGGTGGAAAAGGAAATATCTACTCATAAAAGCTAGATGGAAGCATTCTCAGAAACTACTTTGTGATGACCGCTTTCAAGTCACAGAGTTGAACATTCCGTTTGAAAGAGCCGTTTGGAAACCAACTTTTGGTAGAATCAGCAAGGGGAGATTTGGACCGCTTTGAGGCCTAAGGCAGTAGAGGAAATCACTGCACATAAAAACTAGACAGTAGCATTCTCAGGAAACACTTTGTGACGATTGAGTTCAACTCACAGAGCTGAACATTCCTTTGGATGGAGCAGTTTCGAAACACACTTTTTGTAGGATCTGCAAGTGGATATTTGGACTTCTCTGAGGATTTCGTTGGAAACGGGATAAACCTCACCTAACTAAACAGAAGCATTGTCAGGAACTTCTTCGTGATGTTGGCATTCAACTCAGAGAGTTGAACCGTCCCTTGTGAGATCAGGATGAAACTCTCTTTTCGTAGTATCTGCAAGTGGAGATTTGGAACGCTTTGTGGCCTACGGTAGTAAAGGAAATAGCTTCGAGTAAAAACTGGACAGAAGCATTCTCAGAAAATACTTTGTGATGATTTAGTTGAACTCACAGAGCTGCACATTCCTTTGGATGGAGCAGTTTTGAAACACACTTTTTGTAGAATCTGCAAGTGGATATTTGGAACTCCCTGAGGATTTCGTTGGAAACGGGATAACGACACCTAACTGAACAGAAGCTTTCGCAGAAACTTCTTTGTGACGTTTGCATTCAAAGTCCAGAGTTGAACCTTCCTTTGATAGTTCACGTTTGAAACACTCTTTTTGTAGGATCTGCAAGTGGATATTTGGAGCACTTTGTGGCCCTCGTTCGAAACGGGTATATCTTCACATAAAATCCAGACAGAAGCCTTCTCAGAAACCTCTCTGTGATGATTGCATTCAACTCAGAGAGTTGAACATTCCTTTGGATAGAGCAGTTTCTTAACTCTGTTTCTCTAGAATCTGCCCATGGATAGGTGGAACTCTGTGAAGATTTCTTTGCAAACGGGAATATCTTCACATAAAGAGTAAACAGATGCCTTCTCAGAAACTTCTTTGTGAGGCATGTGTTCAACTCCCAGAGTTTAACCTTGCTTTTCATAGAACAGTTTTGAAACATTCTTTTCGTAGAGTCTCCAAGTGGACAATTGGAGAGCTTTCAGGCCTGTGGTGGAAAAGGAAATATCTTCACATAAAAACTAGAGAGAAGCATTGTCAGAAACTTCTTTGTGATGATTGCATTCAACTCACGGTGTTGAAGGTTCCTTTTGATACAGCAGTTTGGAAACACTCTTTCAGTGGGATCTGCAAGCGGATATTTGGACCTCTTTGAAGATTTCGATGGAAAAGGGATAATCTTCCCATAAAAGCTAAACGGAAGCATGCTCAGAGACTTCTTTGTGATGTTTGCATTCAACTCACAGAGTTATACTTTCCTTTCGATAGAGCAGCTTTGAAACCCTCTCTTTCTAGAATCTGTAAGTGGACATTTGGAGGGCTTCGAGGCCTGTGGTGGAAAAGGAAATATCTACTCATAAAAGGTAGATGGAAGCATTCTCAGAAACTACTTTGTGATGGTTGCTTTCAACTCACAGAGTTGAACATTCCCTTTGATAGAGCCGTTTGGAAACACACTTTTGGTAGAATCTGCAAGGGGAGATTTGGACCGCTTTGAGGCCTATGGCAGTAGAGGAAATCACTGCCCATAAAAACTAGACCGTAGCATTCTCAGGAAACACTTTGTGACGATTGAGTTCAACCCACAGAGCTGAACATTGCTTTGGATGGAGCAGTTTCGAAACACACTTTTTGTGGAATCTGCAAGTGGGTACTTGGACTTCTCTGAGGATTTCATTGGAAACGGGATATACCTCACATAACTAAACAGAAGCATTCTCAGAAACTTCTTCGTGATGTTGGCATTCAACTCACTGAGTTGAAACTTCTCTTGTTAGTTCAGGGTGAAACACTCTTTTCGTAGTATCTGCAAGTGGAGATTTGGAACGCTTTGAGGCCTAAGCTAGTAAAGGATATAGCTTCGTGTAAAAACTGGACAGAAGCATTCTCAGAAAATACTTTGTGATGATTTAGTTGAACTCACAGAGCTGCACATTCCTTTGGATGGAGCAGTTTTGAAACACACTTTTTGTAGAATCTGCAAGTGGATATTTGGAACTCCCTGAGGATTTCGTTGGAAACGGGATAACGACACCTAACTGAACAGAAGCTTTCGCAGAAACTTCTTTGTGACGTTTGCATTCAAAGTCCAGAGTTGAACCTTCCTTTGATAGTTCACGTTTGAAACACTCTTTTTGTAGGATCTGCAAGTGGATATTTGGAGCACTTTGTGGCCCTCGTTCGAAACGGGTATATCTTCACATAAAATCCAGACAGAAGCCTTCTCAGAAACTTCTCTGTGATGATTGCATTCAACTCACAGAGTTGAACATTCCTTTGGATAGAGCAGTTTCGAAACTCTCTTTTTTCTAGAACCTGCACATGGATAGGTGGAACTCTGTGAAGATTTCTTTGCAAACGGGAATATCTTCACATAAAGAGTAAAGAGAAGCATTCTCAGAAACTCCTTTGTGATGTGTGAATTCAACTCAGAGAGTTGAACACTTCTTTAGAAAGAGCAGTTTTGAAACACTCTTTTCCTAGTATCAGCAAGTGTTCACTTGTGGCGCTTTAAGGCCTATGGTGGAAAAGGAAACATCTTCACATAAAACTAGGCAGAAGCATTGTCAGAAACTTCTTCTTTGTGATGACTGCATTCAACTCACGGAGTGGAAGGCTCCTTTTGATACAGCCGCTTGGAAACACTCTATCAGAGGGACCTGCAAGCGGATACTTGGAGCTCTTGGAAGATTTCGATGGAAAAGGGATAATCTTCCCATAAAAGCTAAATGGAAGCATGCTCAGGGACTTCTTTGTGATGTTTGCATTCAACTCCCAGAGTTGTACTTTCCTTTTGATAGAGCAGCTTTGAAACCCTCTCTCTCTAGAAACTGCAAGTGGCATTGGGAGGGCTTCGAGGCCTGTGGTGGAAAAGGAAATATCTACTCATAAAAGCTAGATGGAAGCATTCACAGAAACTACTTTGTGATGGTTGCTTTCAAGTCACAGAGTTGAACATTCCCTTTGATAGAGCCGTTTGGAAACACATTCTTGGTAGAATCTGCAAGCGGAGATTTGGACCACTTTGAGGCCTATGGCAGTACAGGAAATCGCTGCCCATAAAAACTAGACCGTAGCATTCTCAGGAAACACTTTGTGACGATTGAGTTCAACCCACAGAGCTGAACATTGCTTTGGATGGAGCAGTTTGGAAACACACTTTTTGTGGAATCTGCAAGTGGGTATTTGGACTTCTCTGAGGATTTCGTTGGAAACGGGATAAACCTCACATAACTAAACAGAAGCATTGTCAGGAACTTCTTCATGATGTTGGCATTCAACTCACAGAGTTGCACCGTCCCTTGTGAGTTCAGGTTGAAACACTCTTTTCGTAGTATCTGCAAGTGGAGATTTGGAACGCTTTGTGGCCTACGGTAGTAAAGGAAATAGCTTCGAGTAAAAACTGGACAGAAGCATTCTCAGAAAATACTTTGTGATGATTGAGTGTAACTCACAGAGCTGAACATTCCTTTGGATGGAGCAGTTTTGAAACACACTTTTTGTAGCATCTGCAAGTGGATATTTGGACCTCTCCGAGGATTTCGTTGGAAACTGGATAACGTCACCTAACTAAACAGAAGCTTTCGCAGAAACTTCTTTGTGACGTTTGCATTCAAAGTCCAGAGTTGAACCTTCCTTTGATAGTTCACGTTTGAAACACTCTTTTTGTAGGATCTGCAAGTGGATATTTGGAGCACTTTGTGGCCCTCGTTCGAAACGGGTATATCTTCACATAAAATCCAGACAGAAGCCTTCTCAGAAACCTCTCTGTGATGATTGCATTCAACTCAGAGAGTTGAACATTCCTTTGGATAGAGCAGTTTCGAAAATCTGTTTCTCTAGAATCTGCTCATGGATAGGTGGAACTCTGTGAAGATTTCTTTGCAAACGGGAATATCTTCACATAAAGAGTAAACAGATGCCTTCTCAGAAACTTCTTTGTGAGGCATGTGTTCAACTCCCAGCAATTTAACTTTGCTTTTCATAGGGCAGTTTTGAAACATTCTTTTCGTAGAGTCTCCAAGTGGACGTTTGGAGCGCTTTCAGGCCTGTGGTGGAAAAGGAAATGTCTTCACCTAAAAACTAGAGAGAAGCATTGTCAGAAACTTCTTTGTGATGATTGCATTCAACTCACGGAGTTGAAGGTTCCTTTTGATACAGCAGTTTGGAAACACTCTTTCGGTGGGAACTGCAAGCGGATATTTGGACCTCTTTGAAGATTTCGATGGAGAAGGGATAATCTTCCCATAAAAGCTAAACGGAAGCGTGCTCAGAGACTTCTTTGTGATGTTTGCATTCAACTCACAGAGTTATACTTTCCTTTCGATAGAGCAGCTTTGAAACCCTCTCTTTCTAGAATCTGTAAGTGGACATTTGGAGGGCTTCAAGGCCTGTTGTGGAAAAGGAAATATCTACTCATAAAAGGTAGATGGAAGCATTCTCAGAAACTACTTTGTGATGGTTGCTTTCAACTCACAGAGTTGAACATTCCGTTTGATAGAGCCGTTTGGAAACACACTTTTGGTAGAATCTGCAAGGGGAGATTTGGACCGCTTTGAGGCCTATGGCAGTAGAGGAAATCACTGCCCATAAAAAATAGACCGTAGCATTCTCAGAAAACACTTTGTGACGATTGAGTTCAACCCACAGAGCTGAACATTGCTTTGGATGGAGCAGTTTCGAAACACACTTTTTGTGGAATCTGCAAGTGGGTATTTGGGCTTCTCTGAGGATTTCGTTGGAAAGGGATAAACTTCACATAACTAAACAGAAGCATTCTCAGAAAATTCTTCGTAATGTTGACATTCAACTCACAGAGTTGAACCTTCCCTTGTGAGTTCAGGTTGAAACACTCTTTTCGTAGTATCTGCAAGTGGAGATTTGGAACGCTTTGAGGCCTAAGGTAGTAAAGGAAATAGCTTCGTGTAAAAACTGGACAGAAGCATTCTCAGAAAATACTTTGTGATGATTGAGTTGAACCCACAGAGCTGAACATTCCTTTGGATGGAGCAGTTTTGAAACACACTTTTTGTAGAATCTGCAAGTGGATAGTTGGACCTCCCTGAGGATTTCGTTGGAAAAGGGATAACGTCACCTAACTGAACAGAAGCTTTTGCAGAAACATCTTTGGGATATTTGCATTCAAAGTCCAGAGTTGAAACTTCCTTCGATAGCTCACGTTTGAAACACTCTTTTTGTAGGATCTGCAAGTGGATATTTGGAGCACTTTGTGGCCTTCATTCGAAACGGGTATATCTTCACATAAAATCCAGACAGAAGCCTTCTCAGAAACTTCTCTGTGATGATTGCATTCAACTCACAGAGTTGAACATTACTTTGGATAGAGCAGTTTCGAAACTCTCTTTTTTTCTAGAACCTGCACATGGATAGGTGGAACTCTGTGAAGATTTCTTTGCAAACGGGAATATCTTCACATAAAGAGTAAAGAGATGCCTTCTCAGAAACTTCTTTGTGAGGCATGTGTTCAACTCCCAGAGTTTAACCTTGCATTTCATAGAACAGTTTTGAAACATTCTTTTCGTAGAGTCTCCAAGTGGACATTTGGAGCGCTTTCAGGCCTGTGGTGGAAAAGGAAATATCTTCACATAAAAACTAGAGAGAAGCATTGTCAGAGACTTCTTCTTTGTGATGACTGCATTCAACTCACGGAGTGGAAGGCTCCTTTTGATACAGCAGCTTGGAAACACTCTTTCAGAGGCACATGCAAGCGGATACTTGGACCTCTTTGAAGATTTCGATGGAAAAGGGATAATCTTCCCATAAAAGCTAAATGGAAGCATGCTCAGAGACTACTTTGTGATGTTTGCATTCAACTCCCAGAGTTGTACTTTCCTTTTGATAGAGCAGCTTTGAAACCCTCTCTTTCTAGAATCTCCAAGTGGACATTTGGAGGGTTTCGAGGCCTGTGGTGGAAAATCAACTATCTACTCATAAAAGCTAGATGGAAGCATTCTCCGAAACTACATTTTGATGATTCCTTTCAAGTCACAGAGTTGAACATTCCCTTTGGTAGAGCCGTTTGGAAACACACTTTTGGTAGAATCTGCAAGGGGAGATTTGGACCGCTTTGAAGCCTATGGCAGTAGAGGAAATCACTGCCCATGAAATCTAGACAGTAGCATTCTCAGGAAACACTTTGTGACGATTGAGTTCAACTCACAGAGCTGAACATTCCTTTGGATGGAGCAGTTTCGAAACACACTTTTTGTAGGATCTGCAAGTGGATATTTGGACTTCTCTGAGGATTTCGTTGGAAACGGGATAAACCTCACCTAACTAAACAGAAGCATTGTCAGGAACTTCTACGTGATGTTGGCATTCAACTCAGAGAGTTGAACCGTCCCTTGTGAGATCAGGATGAAACTCTCTTTTCGTAGTATCTGCAAGTGGAGATTTGGAACGCTTTGTGGCCTACGGTAGTAAAGGAAATAGCTTCGAGTAAAAACTGGACAGAAGCATTCTCAGAAAATACTTTGTGATGATTTAGTTGAACTCACAGAGTCGAACATTCCTTTGGATGGAGCAGTTATGAAACACACTTTTTGTAGAATCTGCAAGTGGATATTTGGAACTCCCTGAGGATTTCGTTGGAAACGGGATAACGTCACCTAACTGAACAGAAGCTTTCGCAGAAACTTCTTTGGGACGTTTGCATTCAAAGTCCAGAGTTGAACCTTCCTTCGATAGCTCACGTTTGAAACACTCTTTTTGTAGGATCTGCAAGTGGATATTTGGAGTACTATGTGGCCTTTGTTCGAAACGGGTATATTTTCACATAAAATCCAGACAGAAGCCTTCTCAGAAACTTCTCTGTGATGATTGCTTTCAACTCACAGAGTTGAACATTCCTTTGGATAGAGCAGTTTCGAAACTCTCTTTTTTCTGGAACCTGCACATGGATAGGTGGAACTCTGTGAAGATTTCTTTGCAAACGGGAACATCTTCACATAAAGAGTAAAGAGATGCCTTCTCAGAAACTTCTTTGTGAGGCATGTGTTCAACTCCCAGAGTTTAACATTGCTTTTCATAGAGCACTTTTGAAACATTCTTTTCGTAGAGTCTCCAAGTGGACATGTGGAGCGCTTTCAGGCCTGTGGTGGAAAAGGAAATATCTTCAGCTAAAAACTAGAGAGAACCATTGTCAGAAACTTCTTTGTGATGATTGCATTCAACTCACGGAGTTGAAGGTTCCTTTTGATACAGCAGTTTGGAAACACTCTTTCAGTGGGATCTGCAAGCGGATATTTGGACCTCTTTGAAGATTTCGATGGAAAAGGGATAACCTTCCCATAAAAGCTAAACGGAAGCATGCTCAGAGACTTCTTTGTGATGTTTGCATTCAACTCACAGAGTTATACTTTCCTTTCGGTAGAGCAGCTTTGAAACCCTCTCTTTCTAGAATCTGTAAGTGGACATTTGGAGGGCTTCGAGGCCTGTGGTGGAAAAGGAAATATCTACTCATAAAAGGTAGATGGAAGCATTCTCCGAAACTACATTTTGATGATTCCTTTCAAGTCACAGAGTTGAACATTCCCTTTGGTAGAGCCGTTTGGAAACACACTTTTGGTAGAATCTGCAAGGGGAGATTTGGACTGCTTTGAAGCCTAAGGCAGTAGAGGAAATCACTGCCCATGAAATCTAGACAGTAGCATTCTCAGGAAACACTTTGTGACGATTGAGTTCAACCCACAGAGCTGAACATTGCTTTGGATGGAGCAGTTTGGAAACACACTTTTTGTGGAATCTGCAAGTGGGTATTTGGACTTCTCTGAGGATTTCCTTGGAAACGGGATAAACCTCACATAACTAAACAGAAGCATTCTCAGAAACTTCTTCGTGATGTTGGCATTCGACTCACAGAGTTGAACCTTCCCTTGTGAGTGCAGGGTGAAACACTCTTTTCGTAGTATCTGCAAGTGGAGATTTGGAACGCTTTGAGGCCTAAGCTAGTAAAGGATATAGCTTCGTGTTAAAACTGGACAGAAGCATTCTCAGAAAATAGTTTGAGATGATTGAGTGTAACTCACAGAGCTGAACATTCCTTTGGATGGAGCAGTTTTGAAACACACTTTTTGTAGCATCTGCAAGTGGATATTTGGACCTCTCTGAGGATTACGTTGGAAACGGGATAACGTCACCTAACTAAACAGAAGCTTTCGCAGAAACTTCTTTGTGACGTTTGCATTCAAAGTCCAGAGTTGAACCTTCCTTTGATAGTTCACGTTTGAAACACTCTTTTTGTAGGATCTGCAAGTGGATATTTGGAGCACTTTGTGGCCCTCGTTCGAAACGGGTATATCTTCACATAAAATCCAGACAGAAGCCTTCTCAGAAACTTCTCTGTGATGATTGCATTCAACTCACAGAGTTGAACTTTCCTTTGGATAGAGCAGTTTCGAAACTTTCTTTTTTCTAGAACCTGCACATGGACAGGTGGAACTCTGTGAAGATTTCTTTGCAAACGGGAATATCTTCACATAAAGAGGAAAGAGATGCCTTCTCAGAAACTTCTTTGTGAGGCATGTGTTCAACTCCCAGAGTTTAACCTTGCTTTTCATAGAGCACTTTTGAAACATTCTTTTCGTAGAGTCTCCAAGTGGACATTTGGAGCGCTTTCAGGCCTGTGGTGGAAAAGGAAATATTTTCAGCTAAAAACTAGAGAGAAGCATTGTCAGAGACTTCTTCTTTGTGATGACTGCATTCAACTCACGGAGTGGAAGGCTCCTTTTGATACAGCAGCTTGGAAACACTCTTTCAGAGGGACCTGCAAGCGGATACTTGGACCTCTTTGAAGATTTCGATGGAAAAGGGACTATCTTCCCATAAAAGCTAAATGGAAGCATGCTCAGAGACTTCTTTGTGATGTTTGCATTCAACTCCCAGTGTTGTACTTTCCTTTTGATAGAGCAGCTTTGAAACCCTCTCTCTCTAGAATCTGCAAGTGGACATTGGGAGGGCTTCGAGGCCTGTGGTAGAAAAGGAAATATCTACTCATAAAAGATAGATGGAAGCATTCTCCGAAACTACATTTTGATGATTCCTTTCAAGTCACAGAGTTGAACATTCCCTTTGGTAGAGCCGTTTGGAAACACACTTTTGGTAGAATCTGCAAGGGGAGATTTGGACCGCTTTGAAGCCTATGGCAGTAGAGGAAATCACTGCCCATAAAAACTAGACAGTAGCATTCTCAGGAAACAGTTTGTGACGATTGAGTTCAACTCACAGAGCTGAACATTCCTTTGGATGGAGCAGTTTCGAAACACACTTTTTGTAGGATCTGCAAGTGGATATTTGGACTTCTCTGAGGATTTCGTTGGAAACGGGATAAACCTCACCTAACTAAAGAGAAGCATTGTCAGGAACTTCTTCATGATGTTGGCATTCAACTCACAGAGTTGCACCGTCCCTTGTGAGTTCAGGTTGAAACACTCTTTTCGTAGTATCTGCAAGTGGAGATTTGGAACGCTTTGTGGCCTACGGTAGTAAAGGAAATAGCTTCGAGTAAAAACTGGACAGAAGCATTCTCAGAAAACACTTTGTGATGATTTAGTTGAACTCACAGAGCTGAACATTCCTTTGGATGGAGCAGTTTTGAAACACACTTTTTGTAGAATCTGCAAGTGGATATTTGGAACTCCCTGAGCATTTCGTTGGAAACGGGATAACGTCACCTAACTGAACAGAAGCTTTCGCAGAAACTTCTTTGGGACGTTTGCATTCAAAGTCCAGAGTTGAACCTTCCTTCGATAGCTCACGTTTGAAACACTCTTTTTGTAGGATCTGCAGGTGGATATTTGGAGCACTTTGTGGCCTTCGTTCGAAACGGGTATATCTTCACATAAAATCCAGACAGAAGCCTTCTCAGAAACCTCTCTGTGATGATTGCATTCAACTCAGAGAGTTGAACATTCCTTTGGATATAGCAGTTTCGAAACTCTGTTTCTCTAGGATCTGCACATGGATAGGTGGAACTCTGTGAAGATTTCTTTGCAAAAGGGAATATCTTCACATAAAGAGTAAACAGATGCCTTCTCAGAAACTTCTTTGTGAGGCATGTGTTCAACTCCCAGAGTTTAACCTTGCTTTTCATAGAACAGTTTTGAAACATTCTTTTCGTAGAGTCTCCAAGTGGACATTTCTTGCGCTTTCAGGCCTGTGGTGGAAAAGGAAATATCTTCACATAAAAACTAGAGAGAAGCATTGTCAGAGACTTCTTCTTTGTGAAGACTGCATTCAACTCACGGAGTGGAAGGCTCCTTTTGATACAGCAGCTTGGAAACACTCTTTCAGAGGGACCTGCAAGCGGATACTTGGACCTCTTTGAGGATTTCGATGGAAAAGTTAAAATCTTACCATAAAAGCTAAATGGAAGCATGCTCAGAGACTACTTTGTGATGTTTGCATTCAACTCCCAGAGTTGTACTTTCCTTTTGATAGAGCAGCTTTGAAACCCTCTCTTTCTAGAATCTGCAAGTGGACATTTGGAGGGCTTCGAGGCCTGTGGTGGAAAAGGAAATATCTACTCATAAAAGCTAGATGGAAGCATTCTCAGAAACTAATTTGTGATGGTTGCTTTCAACTCAAAGAGTTGAACATTCCGTTTGATAGAGCCGTTTGGAAACACACTTTTGGTAGAATCTGCAAGGGGAGATTTGGACCGCTTTGAGGCCTATGGCAGTAGAGGAAATCACTGCCCATAAAAACTAGACCGTAGCATTCTCAGGAAACACTTTGTGACGATTGAGTTCAACCCACAGAGCTGAACATTGCTTTGGATGGAGCAGTTTGGAAACACACTTTTTGTGGAATCTGCAAGTGGGTATTTGGACTTCTCTGAGGATTTCGTTGGAAACGGGATAAACCTCACATAACTAAACAGAAGCATTGTCAGGAACTTCTTCGTGATGTTGGCATTCAACTCACAGAGTTGAACCGTCCCTTGTGAGTTCAGCTTGAAACACTCATTTCGTAGTATCTGCAAGTGGAGATTTGGAACGCTTTGTGGCCTACGGTAGTAAAGGAAATAGCTTCGAGTAAAAACTGGACAGAAGCATTCTCAGAAAATACTTTGTGATGATTGAGTGTAACTCACAGAGCTGAACATTCCTTTGGATGGAGCAGTTTTGAAACACACTTTTTGTAGCATCTGCAAGTGGATATTTGGACCTCTCTGAGGATTTCGTTGGAAACGGGATAACGTCACCTAACTAAACAGAAGCTTTCGCAGAAACTTCTTTGGGACATTTGCATTCAAAGTCCAGAGTTGAACCTTCCTTCGATAGCTCACGTTTGAAACACTCTTTTTGTAGGATCTGCAAGTGGATATTTGGAGCACTTTGTGGCCTTCGTTCGAAACGGGTATATCTTCACATAAAATCCAGACAGAAGCCTTCTCAGAAACCTCTCTGTGATGATTGCATTCAACTCAGAGAGTTGAACATTCCTTTGGATAGAGCAGTTTCTTAACTCTGTTTCTCTAAAATCTGCCCATGGATAGGTGGAACTCTGTGAAGATTTCTTTGCAAACGGGAATATCTTCACATAAAGAGTAAACAGATGCCTTCTCAGAAACTTCTTTGTGAGGCATGTGTTCAACTCCCAGAGTTTAACCTTGCTTTTCATAGAGCACTTTTGAAACATTCTTTTCGTAGAGTCTCCAAGTGGACATTTGGAGCGCTTTCAGGCCTGTGGTGGAAAAGGAAATATCTTCAGCTAAAAACTAGAGAGAGGCATTGTCAGAAACGTCTTTGTGATGATGGCATTCAACTCCCGGAGTTGAAGGTTCCTTTTGATACAGCAGTTTGGAAACACTCTTTCAGTGGGATCTGCAAGTGGATATTTGGACCTCTTTGGAGATTTCGATGGAAAAGGGATAATCTTCCCATAAAAGCTAAACGGAAGCATGCTCAGAGACTTCTTTGTGATGTTTGCATTCAACTCCCAGAGTTGTACTTTACTTTTGATAGAGCAGCTTTGAAACCCTCTCTTTGTAGAATCTGCAAGTGGACATTTGGAGGGTTTCGAGGCCTGTGGTGGAAAAGGAAATATCTACTCATAAAAGCTAGATGGAAGCGTTCTCAGAAACCACTTTGTGATGGTTGCTTTCAACTCACAGAGTTGAATATTCCCTTTGATAGAGCCGTTTGGAAACACACTCTTGGTAGAATCTGCAAGGGGAGATTTGGACCGCTTTGAGGCCTATGGCAATAGAGGAAATCACTGCCCATAAAAAGTAGACAGTAGCATTCTCAGGAAACACTTTGTGACGATTGAGTTCAAACCACAGAGCTGAACATTGCTTTGGATGGAGCAGTTTGGAAACACACTTTTGGGGAATCTGCAAGTGGGTATTTGGACTTCTCTGAGGATTTCTTTGGAAACGGGATAAACCTCACATAACTAAACAGAAGCATTTTCAGGAACTTCTTCGTGATGTTGGCATTCAACTCACAGAGTTGAACCGTCCCTTGTGAGTTCAGGTTGAAACACTCTTTTCGTAGTATCTGCAAGTGGAGATTTGGAACGCTTTGTGGCCTACGGTAGTAAAGGAAATAGCTTCGAGTAAAAACTGGACAGAAGCATTCGTAGAAAATACTTCGAGATGATTGAGTTGAACTCACAGAGCGGAACATTCCTTTGGATGGAGCAGCTTTGAAACACACTTTTTGTAGAATCTGCAAGTGGACAGTTGGACCTCCCTGAGGATTTCGTTGGAAACGGGATAACGTCACCTAACTAAACAGAAGCTTTCGCAGAAACTTCTTTGGGACGTTTGCATTCAAAGTCCAGAGTTGAACCTTCCTTCGATAGCTCACGTTTGAAACACTCTTTTTGTAGGATCTGCTAGTGGATATTTGGAGCACTTTGTGTCCTTCGTTCGAAACGGGTATATCTTCACATAAAATCCAGACAGAAGCCTTCTCAGGAACCTCTCTGTGATGATTGCATTCAACTTAGAGAGTTGAACATTCCTTTGGATAGAGAAGTTTCGAAACTCTGTTTCTCTAGAATCTGCACATGGATAGGTGGAACTCTGTGAAGATTTCTTTGCAAACGGGAATATCTTCACATAAAGAGTAAACAGACGCCTTCTCAGAAACTTCTTTGTGAGGCATGTGTTGAACTCTCAGAGTTTAACCTTGCTTTTCATAGAGCAGTTTTGAAACATTCTTTTCATAGAGTCTCCAAGTGGACATTTGGAGCGCTTTCAGGCCTGTGGTGGAAAAGGAAATATCTTCAGCTAAAAACTACAGAGAAGCATTGTCAGAAACTTCTTTGGGATGATTGCATTCAACTCACGGAGTTGAAGGTTCCTTTTGATACAGCAGTTTGGAAACACTCTTTCAGTGGGATCTGCAAGCAGATATTTGGACCTCTTTGAAGATTTCGATGGAAAAGGGATAATCTTCCCATAAAAGCTAAACGGAAGCATGCTCACAGACTTCTTTGTGATGTTTGCATTCAACTCACAGAGTTATACTTTCCTTTCGATAGAGCAGCTTTGAAACCCTCTCTTTCTAGAATCTGTAACTGGACATTTGGAGGGCTTCGAAGCCTGTGGTGGAAAAGGAAATATCTACTCATAAAAGGTAGATGGAAGCATTCTCCGAAACTACATTTTGATGATTCCTTTCAAGTCACAGAGTTGAACATTCCCTTTGGTAGAGCCGTTTGGAAACACACTTTTGGTAGAATCTGCAAGGGGAGATTTGGACCGCTTTGAAGCCTATGGCAGTAGAGGAAATCACTGCCCATAAAAACTAGACAGTAGCATTCTCAGGAAACACTTTGTGACGATTGAGTTCAACCCACAGAGCTGAACATTGCTTTGGATGGAGCAGTTTGGAAACACACTTTTTGTGGAATCTGCAAGTGGGTATTTGGACTTCTCTGAGGATTTCATTGGAAACGGGATAAACCTCACATAACTAAACAGAAGCATTCTCAGAAACTTCTTCGTGATGTTGGCATTCAACTCCCAGAGTTGAACCTTCCCTTGTGAGTTCAGGGTGAATCACTCTTTTCGTAGTATCTGCAAGTGGAGATTTGGAACGCTTTGAGGCCTAAGGCAGTAAAGGATATAGCTTCGTGTGAAAACTGGACAGAAGCATTTTCAGAGAATACTTTGTGATGGTTTAGTTGAACTCACAGAGCTGAACATTCCTTTGGATGGAGCAGTTTTGAAACACACTTTTTGTAGAATCTGCAAGTGGATATTTGGAACTCCCTGAGGATTTCGTTGGAAACGGGATAACGTCACCTAACTGAACAGAAGCTTTCGCAAATCTTCTTTGTGACGTTTGCATTCAAAGTCCAGAGTTGAACCTTCCTTTGATAGTTGACGTTTGAAACACTCTTTTTGTAGGATCTGCAAGTGGATATTTGGAGCACTTTGTGGCCCTCGTTCGAAACGGGTATATCTTCACATAAAATCCAGACAGAAGCCTTCTCAGAAACTTCTCTGTGATGATTGCTTTCAACTCACAGAGTTGAACATTCCTTTGGATAGAGCAGTTTCGAAACTCTCTTTTTTCTAGAACCTGCACATGGATAGGTGGAACTCTGTGAAGATTTCTTTGCAAACGGGAACATCTTCACATAAAGAGTAAAGAGATGCCTTCTCAGAAACTTCTTTGTGAGGCATGTGTTCAACTCCCAGAGTTTAACCTTGCTTTTCATAGAGCACTTTTGAAACATTCTTTTCGTAGAGTCTCCGTGTGGACATTAGGAGCGCTTTCAGGCCTGTGGTGGAAAAGGAAATATCTTCAGCTAAAAACTAGAGAGAAGCATTGTCAGAAACTTCTTTGTGATGATTGCATTCAACTCACGGAGTTGAAGGTTCCTTTTGATACAGCAGTTTGGAAACACTCTTTCAGTGGGAACTGCAAGCGGATATTTGGACCTCTTTGAAGATTTCGATGGAAAAGGGATAATCTTCCCATAAAAGCTAAACGGAAGCATGCTCAGAGACTTCTTTGTGATGTTTGCATTCAACTCACAGAGATATACTTTCCTTTCGATAGAACAGCTTTGAAACCCTCTCTTTCTAGAATCTGTAAGTGGACATTTGGAGGGCTTCGAGGCCTGTGGTGGAAAAGGAAATATCTACTCATAAAAGGTAGATGGAAGCATTCTCAGAAACTACTTTGTGATGGTTGCTTTCAACTCAAAGAGTTGAACATTCCGTTTGATAGAGCCGTTTGGAAACACACTTTTGGTAGAATTTGCAAGGGGAGATTTGGACTGCTTTGAGGCCTATGGCAGTAGAGGAAATCACTGTCCATAAAAACTAGACCGTAGCATTCTCAGGAAACACTTTGTGACGATTGAGTTCAACTCACAGAGCTGAACATTCCTTTGGATGGAGCAGTTTCGAAACACACTTTTTGTAGGATCTGCAAGTGGATATTTGGACTTCTGTGAGGATTTCGTTGGAAACGGGATAAACCTCACCTAACTAAACAGAAGCATTCTCAGAAACTTCTTCGTGATGTTGGCATTCAACTCCCAGAGTTGAACTTTCCCTTGTGAGTTCAGGGTGAAACACTCTTTTCGTAGTATCTGCAAGTGGAGATTTGGAACGCTTTGAGGCCTAAGGTAGTAAAGGATATAGCTTCGTGTGAAAACTGGACAGAAGCATTCTCAGAAAATACTTTGTGATGATTTAGTTGAACTCACAGAGCTGAACATTCCTTTGGATGGAGCAGTTTTGAAACACACTTTTTGTAGAATCTGCAAGTGGATATTTGGAACTCCCTGAGGATTTCGTTGGAAACGGGATATCGTCACCTAACTGAACAGAAGCATTCGCAGAATCTTCTTTGTGAAGTTCGCATTCAAAGTCCAGAGTTGAAGCTTCCTTTGATACTTCACGTTTGAAACACTCTTTTTGTAGGATCTGCAAGTGGATATTTGGAGCACTTTGTGGCCCTCGTTCGAAACGGGTATATCTTCACATAAAATCCAGACAGAAGCCTTCTCAGAAACTTCTCTGTGATGATTGCATTCAACTCACAGAGTTGAACATTCCTTTGGATAGAGCAGTTTCGAAACTCTCTTTTTTCTAGAACCTGAACATGGATAGGTGGAACTCTGTGAAGATTTCTTTGCAAACGGGAATATCTTCACATAAAGAGTAAAGAGATGCCTTCTCAGAAACTTCTTTGTGAGGCATGTGTTCAACTCCCAGAGTTTAACCTAGCTTTTCATAGAGCACTTTTGAAACATTCTTTTCGTAGAGTCTCCGTGTGGACATTTGGAGCGCTTTCAGGCCTGTGGTGGAAAAGGAAATATCTTCAGCTAAAAACTAGAGAGAAGCATTGTCAGAGACTTCTTCTTTGTGATGACTGCATTCAACTCACGGAGTGGAAGGCTCCTTTTGATACAGCAGCTTGGAAACACTCTTTCAGAGGGACCTGCAAGCGGATACTTGGACCTCTTTGAAGATTTCGATGGAAAAGGGATAATCTTCCCATAAAAGCTAAATGGAAGCATGCTCAGAGACTTCTTTGTGATGTTTGCATTCAACTCCCAGAGTTGTACTTTCCTTTTGATAGAGCAGCTTTGAAACCCTCTCTTTCTAGAATCTGCAAGTGGACATTTGGAGGGCTTCGAGGCCTGTGGTGGAAAAGGAAATATCTACTCATAAAAGCTAGATGGAAGCATTCTCAGAAACTACTTTGTGATGGTTGCTTTCAACTCAAAGAGTTGAACATTCCGTTTGATAGAGCCGTTTGGAAACACACTTTTGGTAGAATCTGCAAGGGGAGATTTGGACCGCTTTGAGGCCTATGGCAGTAGAGGAAATCACTGCCCATAAAAACTAGACCGTAGCATTCTCAGGAAACACTTTGTGACGATTGAGTTCAACCCACAGAGCTGAACATTGCTTTGGATGGAGCAGTTTGGAAACACACTTTTTGTGGAATCTGCAAGTGGGTATTTGGACTTCTCTGAGGATTTCGTTGGAAACGGGATAAACCTCACATAACTAAACAGAAGCATTGTCAGGAACTTCTTCGTGATGTTGGCATTCAACTCACAGAGTTGAACCGTCCCTTGTGAGTTCAGGTTGAAACACTCTTTTCGTAGTATCTGCAAGTGGAGATTTGGAACGCTTTGTGGCCTACGGTAGTAAAGGAAATAGCTTCGAGTAAAAACTGGACAGAAGAATTCTCAGAAAATACTTTGTGATGATTGAGTGTAACTCACAGAGCTGAACATTCCTTTGGATGGAGGAGTTTTGAAACACACTTTTTGTAGCATCTGCAAGTGGATATTTGGACCTCTCTGAGGATTTCGTTGGAAACGGGATAACGTCACCTAACTAAACAGAAGCTTTCGCAGAAACTTCTTTGTGACGTTTGCATTCAAAGTCCAGAGTTGAAACTTCCTTTGATACTTCACGTTTGAAACACTCTTTTTGTAGGATCTGCAAGTGGATATTTGGAGCACTTTGTGGCCCTCGTTCGAAACGGGTATATCTTCACATAAAATCCAGACAGAAGCCTTCTCAGAAACTTCTCTGTGATGATTGCATTCAACTCACAGAGTTGAACATTCCTTTGGATAGAGCAGTTTTGAAACTCTCTTTTTTCTAGAACCTGCACATGGATAGGTGGAACTCTGTGAAGATTTCTTTGCAAACGGGAATATCTTCACATAAAGAGTAAAGAGATGCCTTCTCAGAAACTTCTTTGTGAGGCATGTGTTCAACTCCCAGAGTTTAACCTTGCTTTTCATAGAGCACTTTTGAAACATTCTTTTCGTAGAGTCTCCGTGTGGACATTTGGAGCGCTTTCAGGCCTGTGGTGGAAAAGGAAATATCTTCAGCTAAAAACTAGAGAGAAGCATTGTCAGAAACTTCTTTGTGATGATTGCATTCAACTCACGGAGTTGAAAGTTCCTTTTGATACAGCAGTTTGGAAACACTCTTTCAGTGGGATCTGCAAGCGGATATTTGGACCTCTTTGAAGATTTCGATGGAAAAGGGATAATCTTCCCATAAAAGCTAAACGGAAGCATGCTCAGAGACTTCTTTGTGATGTTTGCATTCAACTCACCGAGTTATACTTTCCTTTCGATAGAGCAGCTTTGAAACCCTCTCTTTCTAGAATCTGTAAGTGGACATTTGGAGGGCTTCGAGGCCTGTGGTGGAAAAGGAAATATCTACTCATAAAAGGTAGATGGAAGCATTCTCAGAAACTACTTTGTGATGGTTGCTTTCAACTCACAGAGTTGAACACTCCCTTTGATAGAGCCGTTTGGAAACACACTGTTGGTAGAATCTGCAAGGGGAGATTTGGACCGCTTTGAGGCCTATGGCAGTAGAGGAAATCACTGCCCATAAAAACTAGACCGTAGCATTCTCAGGAAACACTTTGTGACGATTGAGTTCAACCCACAGAGCTGAACATTGTTTTGGATGGAGCAGTTTCGAAACACACTTTTTGTAGAATCTGCAAGTGGGTGTTTGGGCTTCTCTGAGGATTTCGTTGGAAACGGGATAAACCTCACAGAACTAAACAGAAGCATTCTCAGAAACTTCTTCGTGATGTTGGCATTCAACTCACGGGGTTGAACATTCCCTTGTGAGTTCAAGTTGAAACACTCTTCTCGTAGTATCTGCAAGTGGAGATTTGGAACGCTTTGAGGCCTACGGTAGTAAAGGAAATAGCTTCGTGTAAAAACTGGACAGAAGCATTCTCAGAAAATACTTTGTGATGATTGAGTGTAACTCACAGGGCTGAACATTCCTTTGGATGGAGCAGTTTTGAAACACACTTTTTGTAGCATCTGCAAGTGGATATTTGGACCTCTCTGAGGATTTCGTTGGAAACGGGATAACGTCACCTAACTAAACAGAAGCTTTCGCAGAAACTTCTTTGGGACGTTTGCATTCAAAGTCCAGAGTTGAACCTTCCTTCGATAGCTCACGTTTGAAACTCTCTTTTTGTAGGATCTGCAAGTGGATATTTGGAGCACTATGTGGCCTTCGTTCGAAACGGGTATATCTTCACATAAAATCCAGACAGAAGCCTTCTCAGAAACCTCTCTGTGATGATTGCATTCAACTCAGAGAGTTGAACTTTCCTTTGGATAGAGCAGTTTCGAAACTCTGTTTCTCTAGAATCTGCCCATGGATAGGTGGAACTCTGTGAAGATTTCTTTGCAAACGGGAATATCTTCACATAAAGAGTAAACAGATGCCTTCTCAGAAACTTCTTTGTGAGGCATGTGTTCAACTCCCAGAGTTTAACCTTGCTTTTCATAGAACAGTTTTGAAACATTCTTTTCGTAGAATCTCCAAGTGGACATTTGGAGTGCTTTCAGGCCTGTGGTGGAAAAGGAAATATCTTCACATAAAAACTAGAGAGAAGCATTGTCAGAAACTTCTTTGTGATGATTGCATTCAACTCACGGAGTTGAAGGTTCCTTTTGATACAGCAGTTTGGAAACACTCTTTCAGTGGGATCTGCAAGCGGATATTTGGACTTCTTTGAAGATTTCGATGGAAAAGGGATAATCTTCCCATAAAAGCTAAACGGAAGCATGCTCAGAGACTTCTTTGTGATGTTTCCATTCAACTCACAGAGTTATACTTTCCTTTCGATAGAGCAGCTTTGAAACCCTCTCTTTCTAGAATCTGTAAGTGGACATTTGGAGGGCTTCGAGGCCTGTGGTGGAAAAGGAAATATCTACTCATAAAAGGTAGATGGAAGCATTCTCAGAAACAAATTTGTGATGGTTGCTTTCAACTCAAAGAGTTGAACATTCCGTTTGATAGAGCCGTTTGGAAACACACTGTTGGTAGAATCTGCAAGGGGAGATTTGGACCGCTTTGAGGCCTATGGCAGTAGAGGAAATCACTGCCCATAAAAACTAGACCGTAGCATTCTCAGGAAACACTTTGTGACGATTGAGTTCAACCCACAGAGCTGAACATTGCTTTGGATGGAGCAGTTTGGAAACACACTTTTTGTGGAATGTGCAAGTGGGTATTTGGACTTCTCTGAGGATTTCTTTGGAAACGGGATAAATCTCACATAACTAAACAGAAGCATTCTCAGAAACTTCTTCGTGATGTTGGCATTCAACTCCCAGAGTTGAACCTTCCCTTGTGAGTTCAGGGTGAAACACTCTTTTCGTAGTATCTGCAAGTGGAGATTTGGAACGCTTTGAGGCCTAAGCTAGTAAAGGATATAGCTTCGTGTTAAAACTGGACAGAAGCATTCTCAGAAAATACTTTGTGATGATTTAGTTGAAGTCACAGAGCTGAACATTCCTTTGGATGGAGCAGTTTTGAAACACACTTTTTGTAGAATCTGCAAGTGGATATTTGGAACTCCCTGAGGATTTCGTTGGAAACGGGATAACGTCACCTAACTGAACAGAAGCTTTCGCAGAAACTTCTTTGTGACGTTTGCATTCAAAGTCCAGAGTTGAACCTTCCTTTGATAGTTCACGTTTGAAACACTCTTTTTGTAGGATCTGCAAGTGGATATTTGGAGCACTTTGTGGCCCTCGTTCGAAACGGGTATATCTTCGCATAAAATCCAGACAGAAGCCTTCTCAGAAACTTCTCTGTGATGATTGCATTCAACTCACAGAGTTGAACATTCCTTTGGATAGAGCGGTTTCGAAACTCTCTTTTTTCTAGAACCTGCACATGGATAGGTGGAACTCTGTGAAGATTTCTTTGCAAACGGGAATATCTTCACATAAAGAGTAAAGAGATGCCTTCTCAGAAACTTCTTTGTGAGGCATGTGTTCTACTCCCAGATTTTAACCTTGCTTTTCATAGAACAGTTTTGAAACATTCTTTTCGTAGAGTCTCCAAGTGGACATTTCTTGCGCTTTCAGGCCTGTGGTGGAAAAGGAAATATATTCACATAAAAACTAGAGAGAAGCATTGTCAGAAACTTCTTTGTGATGATTGCATTCAACTCACGGAGTTGAAGGTTCCTTTTGATACAGCAGTTTGGAAACACTCTTTCAGTGGGATCTGCAAGCGGATATTTGGACCTCTTTGAAGATTTCGATGGAAAAGGGATAATCTTCCCATAAAAGCTAAACGGAAGCATGCTCAGCAGACTACTTTGTGATGTTTGCATTCAACTCCCAGCAGTTGTACTTTCCTTTTGATAGAGCAGCTTTGAAACCCTCTCTTTCTAGAATCTGCAAGTGGACATTTGGAGGGTTTCGAGGCCTGTGGTGGAAAATCAACTATCTACTCATAAAAGCTAGATGGAAGCATTCTCCGAAACTACATTTTGATGATTCCTTTCAAGTCACAGAGTTGAACATTCCCTTTGGTAGAGCCGTTTGGAAACACACTTTTGGTAGAATCTGCAAGGGGAGATTTGGACCGCTTTGAAGCCTATGGCAGTAGAGGAAATCACTGCCCATGAAATACTAGACAGTAGCATTCTCAGGAAACACTTTGTGACGATTGAGTTCAACTCACAGAGCTGAACATTCCTTTGGATGGAGCAGTTTCGAAACACACTTTTTGTAGGATCTGCAAGTGGATATTTGGACTTCTCTGAGGATTTCGTTGGAAACGGGATAAACCTCACCTAACTAAACAGAAGCATTCTCAGAAACTTCTTCGTGATGTTGGCATTCCACTCCCAGAGTTGAACCTTCCCTTGTGAGTTCAGGGTGAAACACTCTTTTCGTAGTATCTGCAAGTGGAGATTTGGAACGCTTTGAGGCATAAGGTAGTAAAGGATATAGCTTCGTGTGGAAACTGGACAGAAGCATTCTCAGAAAATACATTGTGATGATTTAGTTGAACTCACAGAGCTGAACATTCCTTTGGATGGAGCAGTTTTGAAACACACTTTTTGTAGAATCTGCAAGTGGATATTTGGAACTCCCTGAGGATTTCGTTGGAAACGGGATAACGTCACCTAACTGAACAGAAGCTTTCGCAGAAACTTCTTTGTGACGTTTGCATTCAAAGTCCAGAGTTGAACCTTCCTTTGATAGTTCACGTTTGAAACACTCTTTTTGTAGGATCTGCAAGTGGATATTTGGAGCACTGTGTGGCCCTCGTTCGAAACGGGTATATCATCACATAAAATCCAGACAGAAGCCTTCTCAGAAACTTCTCTGTGATGATTGCATTCAACTCACAGAGTTGAACATTCCTTTGGATAGAGCAGTTTCGAAACTCTCTTTTTTCTAGAACCTGCACATGGATAGGTGGAACTCTGTGAAGATTTCTTTGCAAACGGGAATATCTTCACATAAAGAGTAAAGAGATGCCTTCTCATAAACTTCTTTGTGAGGCATGTGTTCAACTCCCAGAGTTTAACCTTGCTTTTCATAGAACAGTTTTGAAACATTCTTTTCGTAGAGTCTCCAAGTGGACATTTGTTGCGCTTTCAGGCCTGTGGTGGAAAAGGAAATATCTTCACATAAAAACTAGAGAGAAGCATTGTCAGAGACTTCTTCTTTGTGATGACTGCATTCAACTCACGGAGTGGAAGGCTCCTTTTGATACAGCAGCTTGGAAACACTCTTTCAGAGGGACCTGCAAGCGGATACTTGGACCTCTTTGAAGATTTCGATGGAAAAGGGATAATCTTCCCATAAAAGCTAAATGGAAGCATGCTCAGAGACTACTTTGTGATGTTTGCATTCAACTCCCAGAGTTGTACTTTCCTTTTGATAGAGCAGCTTTGAAACCCTCTCTTTCTAGAATCTGCAAGTGGACATTTGGAGGGTTTCGAGGCCTGTGGTGGAAAATCAACTATCTACTCATAAAAGCTAGATGGAAGCATTCTCCGAAACTACATTTTGATGATTCCGTTCAAGACACAGAGTTGAACATTCCCTTTGGTAGAGCCGTTTGGAAACACACTTTTGGTAGAATCTGCAAGGGGAGATTTGGACCGCTTTGAAGCCTAAGGCAGTAGAGGAAATCACTGCCCATGAAACCTAGACAGTAGCATTCTCAGGAAACACTTTGTGACGATTGAGTTCAACTCACAGAGCTGAACATTCCTTTGGATGGAGCAGTTTCGAAACACACTTTTTGTAGGATCTGCAAGTGGATATTTGGACTTCTCTGAGGATTTCGTTGGAAACGGGATAAACCTCACCTAACTAAACAGAAGCATTGTCAGGAACTGCTTCGTGATGTTGGCATTCAACTCACAGAGTTGAACCGTCCCTTGTGAGTTCAGGTTGAAACACTCTTTTCGTAGTATCTGCAAGTGGAGATTTGGAACGCTTTGTGGCCTACGGTAGTAAAGGAAATAGCTTCGAGTAAAAACTGGACAGAAGCATTCTCAGAAAATACTTTGTGATGTTTGAGTGTAACTCACAGAGCTGAACATTCCTTTGGATGGAGCAGTTTTGAAACACACTTTTTGTAGCATCTGCAAGTGGATATTTGGACCTCTCTGAGGATTTCGTTGGAAACGGGATAACGTCACCTAACTAAACAGAGGGGTCCTCAGAAAACACTTTGTGATCTATGCATTTAACTCACGGAAATAAACCTTCCTTTTGAGTTAGCAGTTTTGAAACAGTATTTTTGAAGAAACTGCAACCAGATATTTGGAGCGATTTGAAGCCTATGTTGGAAAATGAAATATCTTCACACAAAAACAAGACAGAAGCCTTCTCAGAAACCTCTCTGTGATGATTGCATTGAACTCAGAGAGTTGAACATTCCTTTGGACAGAGCAGTTTCGAAACTCTGTTTCTCTAGAATCTGCACATGGATAGCTGGAACTCTGTGAAGATTTCTTTGCAAACGGGAATATCTTCACATAAAGAGTAAACAGACGCCGTCTCAGAAACTTCTTTGTGAGGCATGTGTTCAACTCCCAGAGTGTAACCTTGCTTTTCATAGAGCAGTTTTGAAACATTCTTTTCGTAGAGTCTCCAAGTGGACATTTGGAGCGCTTTCAGGCCTGTGGTGGAAAAGGAAATATCTTCAGCTAAAAACTAGAGAGAAGCATTGTCAGAAACTTCTTTGTGATGATTGCATTCAACTCACGGAGTTGAAGGTTCCTTTTGACACAGCAGTTTGGAAACACTCTTTCAGTGGGATCTGCAAGCGGATATTTGGACCTCTTTGAAGATTTCGATGGAAAAGGGATAATCTTCCCATAAAAGCTAAACGGAAGCATGCTCAGAGACTTCTTTGTGATGTTTGCATTCAACTCACAGAGTTATACTTTCCTTTCGATAGAGCAGCTTTGAAACCCTCTCTTTCTAGAATCTGTAAGTGGACATTTGGAGGGCTTCGAGGCCTGTGGTGGAAAAGGAAATATCTACTCATAAAAGGTAGATGGAAGCATTCTCAGAAACTACTTTGTGATGGTTGCTTTCAACTCACAGAGTTGAACATTCCCTTTGATAGAGCCGTTTGGAAACACACTTTTGGTAGAATCTGCAAAGGGGAGATTTGGACCGCTTTGAGGCCTATGGCAGTAGAGGAAATCACTGCCCATAAAAACTAGACCGTAGCATTCTCAGGAAACACTTTGTGACGATTGAGTTCAACCCACAGAGCTGAACATTGCTTTGGATGGAGCAGTTTGGAAACACACTTTTGTGGAATCTGCAAGTGGGTATTTGGACTTCTCTGAGGATTTCGTTGGAAACGGGATAAACCTCACATAACTAAACAGAAGCATTCTCAGAAACTTCTTCGTGATGTTGGCATTCAACTCCCAGATTTGAAACTTCCCTTGTGAGTTCAGGGTGAAACACTCTTTTCGTAGTATCTGCAAGTGGAGATTTGGAACGCTTTGAGGCCTAAGGTAGTAAAGGATATAGCTTCGTGTAAAAACTGGACAGAAGCATTCTCAGAAAATACTTTGTGATGATTTAGTTGAACTCACAGAGCTGAACATTCCTTTGGATGGAGCAGTTTTGAAACACACTTTTTGTAGAATCTGCAAGTGGATATTTGGAACTCCCTGAGGATTTCGTTGGAAACGGGATAACGTCACCTAACTGAACAGAAGCTTTCGCAGAAACTTCTTTGTGACGTTTGCATTCAAAGTCCAGAGTTGAACCTTCCTTTGATAGTTGACGTTTGAAACACTCTTTTTGTAGGATCTGCAAGTGGATATTTGGAGCACTTTGTGGCCCTCGTTCGAAACGGGTATATCTTCATATAAAATCCAGACAGAAGCCTTCTCAGAAACTTCTCTGTGATGATTGCATTCAACTCACAGAGTTGAACATTCTTTTGGATAGAGCAGTTTCGAAACTCTCTTTTTTCTAGAACCTGCACATGGATAGGTGGAACTCTGTGAAGATTTCTTTGCAAACGGGAATATCTTCACATAAAGAGTAAAGAAATGCCTTCTCAGAAACTTCTTTGTGAGGCATGTCTTCAACTCCCAGAGTTTAACCTTGCTTTTCATAGAACAGTTTTGAAACATTCTTTTCGTAGGGTCTCCAAGTGGACATTTGTTGCGCTTTCAGGCCTGTGGTGGAAAAGGAAATATCTTCACATAAAAACTAGAGAGAAGCATTGTCAGAGACTTCTTCTTTGTGATGACTGCATTCAACTCACGGAGTGGAAGGCTCCTTTTGATACAGCAGCTTGGAAACACTCTTTCAGAGGGACCTGCAAGCGGATACTTGGACCTCTTTGAAGATTTCGATGGAAAAGGGATAATCTTCCCATAAAAGCTAAATGGAAGCATGCTCAGAGACTACTTTGTGATGTTTGCATTCAACTCCCAGAGTTGTACTTTCCTTTTGATAGAGCAGCTTTGAAACCCTCTCTTTCTAGAATCTGCAAGTGCACATTTGGAGTGTTTCGAGGCCTGTGGTGGAAAATCAACTATCTACTCATAAAAGCTAGATGGAAGCATTCTCAGAAACTACTTTGTGATGGTTGCTTTCAACTCACAGAGTTGAACATTCCTTTTGATAGAGCCGTTTGGAAACACACTGTTGGTAGAATCTGCAAGGGGAGATTTGGACCGCTTTGAGGCCTATGGCTGTAGAGGAAATCACTGCCCATAAAAACTAGACCGTAGCATTCTCAGGAAACACTTTGTGACGATTGAGTTCAACCCACAGAGCTGAACATTGCTTTGGATGGAGCAGTTTGGAAACACACTTTTTGTGGAATCTGCAAGTGGGTATTTGGAATTCTCTGAGGATTTCGTTGGAAACGGGATAAACCTCACATAACTAAACAGAAGCATTCTCAGAAACTTCTTCGTGATGTTGGCATTCAACTCCCAGATTTGAAACTTCCCTTGTGAGTTCAGGGTGAAACACTCTTTTCGTAGTATCTGCAAGTGGAGATTTGGAACGCTTTGAGGCCTAAGGTAGTAAAGGATATAGCTTCGTGTGAAAACTGGACAGAAAGCATTCTCAGAGAATACTTTGTGATGGTTTAGTTGAACTCACAGAGCTGAACATTCCTTTGGATGGAGCAGTTTTGAAACACACTTTTTGTAGAATCTGCAAGTGGATATTTGGAACTCCCTGAAGATTTCGTTGGAAACGGGATAACGTCACCTAACTGAACAGAGCTTCCGCAGAAATTTCTTTGTGACGTATGCATTCAAAGTCCAGAGTTGAAGCTTCCTTTGATACTTCACGTTTGAAACACTCTTTTTGTAGGATCTGCAAGTGGATATTTGGAGCACTTTGTGGCCCTCGTTCGAAACGGGTATATCTTCACATAAAATCCAGACAGAAGCCTTCTCAGAAACTTCTCTGTGATGATTGCATGCAACTCACAGAGTTGAACATTCCTTTGGATAGAGCAGTTTCGAAACTCTCTTTTTTCTAGAATCTGCACATGGATAGGTGGAACTCTGTGAAGATTTCCTTGGAAACGGGAATATCTTCACTTAAAGAGTAAACAGATGCCTTCTCAGAAACTTCTTTGTGAGGCATGTGTTCAACTCCCAGAGTTTAACCTTGCTTTTCATAGAGCACTTTTGAAACATTCTTTTCGTAGAGTCTCCAAGTGGACATTTGGAGCGCTTTCAGGCCTGTGGTGGAAAAGGAAATATCTTCAGCTAAAAACTAGAGAGAAGCATTGTCAGAGACTACTTCTTTGTGATGACTGCATTCAACTCACGGAGTGGAAGGCTCCTTTTGATACAGCAGCTTGGAAACACTCTTTCAGAGGGAACTGCAAGCGGATACTTGGACCTCTTTGAAGATTTCGATGGGAAAGGGATAATATTCCCATAAAAGCCAAATGGAAGCATGCTCAGAGACTTCTTTGTGATGTTTGCATTCAACTCACAGAGTTATACTTTCCTTTCGATAGAGCAGCTTTGAAACCCTCTCTTTCTAGAGTCTGTAAGTGGACATTTGGAGGGCTTCGAGGCCTGTGGTGGAAAAGGAAATATCTACTCATAAAAGGTAGATGGAAGCATTCTCCGAAACTACTTTGTGATGGTTGCTTTCAACTCACAGAGTTGAACATTCCCTTTGATAGAGCCGTTTGGAAACACACTGTTGGTAGAATCTGCAAGGGGAGATTTGGACCGCTTTGAGGCCTATGGCAGTAGAGGAAATCACTGCCCATAAAAACTAGACCGTAGCATTCTCAGGAAACACTTTGTGACGATTGAGTTCAACCCACAGAGCTGAACATTGCTTTGGATGGAGCAGTTTGGAAACACACTTTTTGTGGAATCTGCAAGTGGGTATATGGACTTCTCTGAGGATTTCATTGGAAACGGGATAAACCTCACATAACTAAACGGAAGCATTCTCAGAAACTTCTTCGTGATGTTGGCATTCAACTCCCAGATTTGAAACTTCCCTTGTGAGTTCAGGGTGAAACACTCTTTTCGTAGTATCTGCAAGTGGAGATTTGGAACGCTTTGAGGCCTAAGGTAGTAAAGGATATAGCTTCGTGTAAAAACTGGACAGAAGCATTCTCAGAAAATACTTTGTGATGATTGAGTGTAACTCACAGAGCTGAACATTCCTTTGGATGGAGCAGTTTTGAAACACACTTTTTGTAGCATCTGCAAGTGGATATTTGGACCTCTCTGAGGATTTCGTTGGAAACGGGATAAGGTCACCTAACTAAACAGAAGCTTTCGCAGAAACTTCTTTGGGACGTTTGCATTCAAAGTCCAGAGTTGAACCTTCCTTCGATAGCTCACGTTTGAAACACTCTTTTTGTAGGATCTGCAAGTGGATATTTGGAGCACTATGTGGCCTTCGTTCGAAACGGGTATATCTTCACATAAAATCCAGACAGAAGCCTTCTCAGAAACTTCTCTGTGATGATTGCATTCAACTCACAGAGTTGAACATTCCTTTGGAGAGAGCAGTTTCGAAACTCTCTTTTTTCTAGAACCTGCACATGGATAGGTGGAACTCTGTGAAGATTTCTTTGCAAACTGGAATATCTTCACATAAAGAGTAAAGAGATGCCTTCTCAGAAACTTCTTTGTGAGGCATGTGTTCAACTCCCAAAGTTTAACATTGCTTTTCATAGAGCACTTTTGAAACATTCTTTTCGTAGAGTCTCCAAGTGGACATGTGGAGCGCTTTCAGGCCTGTGGTGGAAAAGGAAATATCTTCAGCTAAAAACTAGAGAGAAGCATTGTCAGAAACTTCTTTGTGATGATTGCATTCAACTCACGGAGTTGAAGGTTCCTTTTGATACAGCAGTTTGGAAACACTCTTTCAGTGGGATCTGCAAGCAGATATTTGGAACTCTTTGAAGATTTCGATGGAAAAGGGATAATCTTCCCATAAAAGCTAAACGGAAGCATGCTCAGAGACTTCTTTGTGATGTTTGCATTCAACTCACAGAGTTATACTTTCCTTTCGATAGAGCAGCTTTGAAACCCTCTCTTTCTAGAATCTGTAAGTGGACATTTGGAGGGCTTCGAGGCCTGTGGTGGAAAAGGAAATATCTACTCATAAAAGGTAGATGGAAGCATTCTCAGAAACTACTTTGTGATGGTTGCTTTCAACTCAAAGAGTTGAACATTCCGTTTGATAGAGCCGTTTGGAAACACACTTTTGGTAGAATCTGCAAGGGGAGATTTGGACCGCTTTGAGGCCTATGGCAGTAGAGGAAATCAATGCCCATAAAAACTAGACCGTAGCATTCTCAGGAAACACTTTGTGACGATTGAGTTCAACCCACAGAGCTGAACATTGCTTTGGATGGAGCAGTTTGGAAACACACTTTTGGGGAATCTGCAAGTGGGTATTTGGACTTCTCTGAGGATTTCTTTGGAAACGGGATAAACCTCACATAACTAAACAGAAGCATTCTCAGAAACTTCTTCGTGATGTTGGCATTCAACTCACTGAGTTGAAACTTCTCTTGTTAGTTCAGGGTGAAACACTCTTTTCGTAGTATCTGCAAGTGGAGATTTGGAACGCTTTGAGGCCTAAGCTAGTAAAGGATATAGCTTCGTGTAAAAACTGGACAGAAGCATTCTCAGAGAATACTTTGTGATGGTTTAGTTGAACTCACAGAGCTGAACATTCCTTTGGATGGAGCAGTTTTGAAACACACTTTTTGTAGAATCTGCAAGTGGATATTTGGAACTCCCTGAAGATTTCGTTGGAAACGGGATAACGTCACCTAACTGAACAGAAGCTTTCGCAGAAACTTCTTTGGGACGTTTGCATTCAAAGTCCAGAGTTGAACCTTCCTTCGATAGCTCACGTTTGAAACTCTCTTTTTGTAGGATCTGCAAGTGGATATTTGGAGCACTATGTGGCCTTCGTTCGAAACGGGTATATCTTCACTTAAAATCCAGACAGAAGCCTTCTCAGTAACCTCTCTGTGATGATTGCATTCAACTCAGAGAGTTGAACATTCCTTTGGATAGAGCAGTTTCGAAACTCTGTTTCTCTAGAATCTGCCCATGGATAGGTGGAACTCTGTGAAGATTTCTTTGGAAACGGGAATATCTTCACATAAAGAGTAAACAGA
>NC_000001.11:124932824-124977944 GCF_000001405.40 Homo sapiens
GGAGTTGATGCCAACATCACGAAGAAGTTTCTGAGAATGCTTCCGTTTAGTTATGTGAGGTTTATCCCGTTTCCAATGAAATCCTCAGAGAAGTCCATATACCCACTTGCAGATTCCACAAAAAGTGTGTTTCCAAACTGCTCCATCCAAAGCAATGTTCAGCTCTGTGGGTTGAACTCAATCGTCACAAAGTGTTTCCTGAGAATGCTACGGTCTAGTTTTTATGGGCAGTGATTTCCTCTACTGCCATAGGCCTCAAAGCGGTCCAAATCTCCCCTTGCAGATTCTACCAACAGTGTGTTTCCAAACGGCTCTATCAAAGGGAATGTTCAACTCTGTGAGTTGAAAGCAACCATCACAAAGTAGTTTCTGAGAATGCTTCCATCTACCTTTTATGAGTAGATATTTCCTTTTCCACCACAGGCCTCGAAGCCCTCCAAATGTCCACTTACAGATTCTAGAAAGAGAGGGTTTCAAAGCTGCTCTATCGAAAGGAAAGTATAACTCTGTGAGTTGAATGCAAACATCACAAAGAAGTCTCTGAGCATGCTTCCGTTTAGCTTTTATGGGAAGATTATCCCTTTTCCATCGAAATCTTCAAAGAGGTCCAAATATCCGCTTGCAGTTCCCACTGAAAGAGTGTTTCCAAACTGCTGTATCAAAAGGAACCTTCAACTCCGTGAGTTGAATGCAATCATCACAAAGAAGTTTCTGACAATGCTTCTCTCTAGTTTTTAGCTGAAGATATTTCCTTTTCCACCACAGGCCTGAAAGCGCTCCAAATGTCCACTTGGAGACTCTACGAAAAGAATGTTTCAAAACTGCTCTATGAAAAGCAGTGTTAAACTCTGGGAGTTGAACACATGCCTCACAAAGAAGTTTCTGAGAAGGCATCTCTTTACTCTTTATGTGAAGATATTCCCGTTTGCAAAGAAATCTTCACAGAGTTCCACCTATCCATGTGCAGGTTCTAGAAAAAAGAGAGTTTCGAAACCGCTCTATCCAAAGGAATGTTCAACTCTGTGAGTTGAATGCAATCATCACAGAGAAGTTTCTGAGAAGGCTTCTGTCTGGATTTTATGTGAAGATATACCCGTTTCGAACGAGGGCCACAAAGTGCTCCAAATATCCACTTGCAGATCCTACAAAAAGAGTGTTTCAAACGTGAACTATCAAAGGAAGGTTCAACTCTGGACTTTGAATGCAAACGTCACAAAGAAGTTTCTGCGAAAGCTTCTGTTCAGTTAGGTGACGTTATCCCGTTTCCAACGAAATCCTCAGGGAGTTCCAAATATCCACTTGCAGATTCTACAAAAAGTGTGTTTCAAAACTGCTCCATCCAAAGGAATGTTCAGCTCTGTGAGTTCAACTAAATCATCACAAAGTATTTTCTGAGAATGCTTCTGTCCAGTTTTTACACGAAGCTATATCCTTTACTAGCTTAGGCCTCAAAGCGTTCCAAATCTCCACTTGCAGATACTACGAAAAGAGTGTTTCACCCTGAACTCACAAGGGAAGGTTCAACTCTGTGAGTTGAATGCCAACATCACGAAGAAGTTTCTGAGAATGCTTCTGTTTAGTTATGTGAGGTTTATCCCGTTTCCAACGAAATCCTCAGAGAAGTCCAAATACCCACTTGCAGATTCCACAAAAAGTGTGTTTCCAAACTGCTCCATCCAAAGCAATGTTCAGCTCTGTGGGTTGAACTCAATCGTCACAAAGTGTTTCCTGAGAATGCTACGGTCTAGTTTTTATGGGCAGTGATTTCCTCTACTGCCATAGGCCTCAAAGCGGTCCAAATCTCCCCTTGCAGATTCTACCAAAAGTGTGTTTCCAAACGGCTCTATCAAACGGAATGTTCAACTCTGTGAGTTGAAAGCAACCATCACAAAGTAGTTTCTGAGAATGCTTCCATCTACCTTTTATGAGTAGATATTTCCTTTTCCACCACAGGCCTCGAAGCCCTCCAAATGTCCACTTACAGATTCTAGAAAGAGAGGGTTTCAAAGCTGCTCTATCGAAAGGAAAGTATAACTCTGTGAGTTGAATGCAAACATCACAAAGAAGTCTCTGAGCATGCTTCCGTTTAGCTTTTATGGGAAGATTATCCCTTTCCCATCGAAATCTTCAAAGAGGTCCAAATATCCGCTTGCAGTTCCCACCGAAAGAGTGTTTCCAAACTGCTGTATCAAAAGGAACCTTCAACTCCGTGAGTTGAATGCAATCATCACAAAGAAGTTTCTGACAATGCTTCTCTCTAGTTTTTAGCTGAAGATATTTCCTTTTCCACCACAGGCCTGAAAGCGCTCCAAATGTCCACACGGAGACTCTACGAAAAGAATGTTTCAAAAGTGCTCTATGAAAAGCAAGGTTAAACTCTGGGAGTTGAACACATGCCTCACAAAGAAGTTTCTGAGAAGGCATTTCTTTACTCTTTATGTGAAGATATTCCCGTTTGCAAAGAAATCTTCACAGAGTTCCACCTATCCATGTGCAGGTTCTAGAAAAAAGAGAGTTTCAAAACTGCTCTATCCAAAAGAATGTTCAACTCTGTGAGTTGAATGCAATCATCACAGAGAAGTTTCTGAGAAGGCTTCTGTCTGGATTTTATGTGAAGATATACCCGTTTCGAACGAGGGCCACAAAGTGCTCCAAATATCCACTTGCAGATCCTACAAAAAGAGTGTTTCAAACGTGAACTATCAAAGGAAGGTTCAACTCTGGACTTTGAATGCAAACGTCACAAAGAAGTTTCTGCGAAAGCTTCTGTTCAGTTAGGTGACGTTATCCCGTTTCCAATGAAATCCTCAGGGAGTTCCAAATATCCACTTGCAGATTCTACAAAAAGTGTGTTTCAAAACTGCTCCATCCAAAGGAATGTTCAGCTCTGTGACTTCAACTAAATCATCACAAAGTATTTTCTGAGAATGCTTCTGTCCAGTTTTAACACGAAGTTATATCCTTTACTAGCTTAGGCCTCAAAGCATTCCAAATCTCCACTTGCAGATACTACGAAAAGAGTGTTTCACCCTGAACTCACAAGGGAAGGTTCAACTCTGTGAGTTGAATGCCAACATCACGAAGAAGTTTCTGAGAATGCTTCTGTTTAGTTATGTGAGGTTTATCCCGTTTCCAAGGAAATCCTCAGAGAAGTCCAAATACCCACTTGCAGATTCCACAAAAAGTGTGTTTCCAAACTGCTCCATCCAAAGCAATGTTCAGCTCTGTGGGTTGAACTCAATCGTCACAAAGTGTTTCCTGAGAATGCTACGGTCTATTTTTTATGGGCAGTGATTTCCTCTACTGCCATAGGCCTCAAAGCGGTCCAAATCTCCCCTTGCAGATTCTACCAAAAGTGTGTTTCCAAACGGCTCTATCAAACGGAATGTTCAACTCTGTGAGTTGAAAGCAACCATCACAAAGTAGTTTCTGAGAATGCTTCCATCTACCTTTTATGAGTAGATATTTCCTTTTCCACCACAGGCCTCGAAGCCCTCCAAATGTCCACTTACAGATTCTAGAAAGAGAGGGTTTCAAAGCTGTTCTATCGAAAGGAAAGTATAACTCTGTGAGTTGAATGCAAACATCACAAAGAAGTCTCTGAGCATGCTTCCGTTTAGCTTTTATGGGAAGATTATCCCTTTTCCATCGAAATCTTCAAAGAGGTCCAAATATCCGCTTGCAGTTCCCACCGAAAGAGTGTTTCCAAACTGCTGTATCAAAAGGAACCTACAACTCTGTGAGTTGAATGCAATCATGACAAAGAAGTTTCTGACAATGCTTCTCTCTAGTTTTTAGCTGAAGATATTTCCTTTTCCACCACAGGCCTGAAAGCGCTCCAAATGTCCACACGGAGACTCTACGAAAAGAATGTTTCAAAAGTGCTCTATGAAAAGCAAGGTTAAACTCTGGGAGTTGAACACATGCCTCACAAAGAAGTTTCTGAGAAGGCATCTCTTTACTCTTTATGTGAAGATATTCCCGTTTGCAAAGAAATCTTCACAGAGTTCCACCTATCCATGTGCAGGTTCTAGAAAAAAGAGAGTTTCGAAACTGCTCTATCCAAAGGAATGTTCAACTCTGTGAGTTGAATGCAATCATCACAGAGAAGTTTCTGAGAAGGCTTCTGTCTGGATTTTATGTGATGATATACCCGTTTCGAACGAGGGCCACACAGTGCTCCAAATATCCACTTGCAGATCCTACAAAAAGAGTGTTTCAAACGTGAACTATCAAAGGAAGGTTCAACTCTGGACTTTGAATGCAAACGTCACAAAGAAGTTTCTGCGAAAGCTTCTGTTCAGTTAGGTGACGTTATCCCGTTTCCAATGAAATCCTCAGGGAGTTCCAAATATCCACTTGCAGATTCTACAAAAAGTGTGTTTCAAAACTGCTCCATCCAAAGGAATGTTCAGCTCTGTGAGTTCAACTAAATCATCACAAAGTATTTTCTGAGAATGCTTCTGTCCAGTTTTAACACGAAGCTATATCCTTTACTAGCTTAGGCCTCAAAGCGTTCCAAATCTCCACTTGCAGATACTACGAAAAGAGTGTTTCACCCTGCACTCACAAGGGAAGGTTCAACTCTGTGAGTCGAATGCCAACATCACGAAGAAGTTTCTGAGAATGCTTCTGTTTAGTTATGTGAGGTTTATCCCGTTTCCAACGAAATCCTCAGAGAAGTCCAAATACCCACTTGCAGATTCCACAAAAAGTGTGTTTCCAAACTGCTCCATCCAAAGCAATGTTCAGCTCTGTGGGTTGAACTCAATCGTCACAAAGTGTTTCCTGAGAATGCTACGGTCTATTTTTTATGGGCAGTGATTTCCTCTACTGCCATAGGCCTCAAAGCGGTCCAAATCTCCCCTTGCAGATTCTACCAAAAGTGTGTTTCCAAACGGCTCTATCAAAGGGAATGTTCAACTCTGTGAGTTGAAAGCAACCATTACATAGTAGTTTCTGAGAATGCTTCCATCTACCTTTTATGAGTAGATATTTCCTTTTCCACCACAGGCCTCGAAGCCCTCCAAATGTCCACTTACAGATTCTAGAAAGAGAGGGTTTCAAAGCTGCTCTATCGAAAGGAAAGTATAACTCTGTGAGTTGAATGCAAACATCACAAAGAAGTCTCTGAGCATGCTTCCGTTTAGCTTTTATGGGAAGATTATCCCTTTTCCATCGAAATCTTCAAAGAGGTCCAAATATCCGCTTGCAGATCCCACTGAAAGAGTGTTTCCAAACTGCTGTATCAAAAGGAACCTTCAACACCGTGAGTTGAATGCAATCATCACAAAGAAGTTTCTGACAATGCTTCTCTCTAGTTTTTAGCTGAAGATATTTCCTTTTCCACCACAGGCCTGAAAGCGCTCCAAATGTCCACTTGGAGACTCTACGAAAAGAATGTTTCAAAACTGCTCTATGAAAAGCAAGGTTAAACTCTGGGAGTTGAACACATGCCTCACAAAGAAGTTTCTGAGAAGGCATCTCTTTACTCTTTATGTGAAGATATTCCCGTTTGCAAAGAAATCTTCACAGATTTCCACCTATCCATGTGCAGGTTCTAGAAAAAAGAGAGTTTCGAAACTGCTCTATCCAAAGGAATGTTCAACTCTGTGAGTTGAATGCAATCATCACAGAGAAGTTTCTGAGAAGGCTTCTGTCTGGATTTTATGTGAAGATATACCCGTTTCGAACGAGGGCCACAAAGTGCTCCAAATATCCACTTGCAGATCCTACAAAAAGAGTGTTTCAAACGTGAAGTATCAAAGGAAGCTTCAACTCTGGACTTTGAATGCGAACTTCACAAAGAAGATTCTGCGAATGCTTCTGTTCAGTTAGGTGACGATATCCCGTTTCCAACGAAATCCTCAGGGAGTTCCAAATATCCACTTGCAGATTCTACAAAAAGTGTGTTTCAAAACTGCTCCATCCAAAGGAATGTTCAGCTCTGTGAGTTCAACTAAATCATCACAAAGTATTTTCTGAGAATGCTTCTGTCCAGTTTTATCACGAAGCTATTTCCTTTACTATCGTAGGCCTCAAAGCGTTCCAAATCTCCACTTGCAGATACTACGAAAAGAGTGTTTCAACCTGAACTAACAAGGGAAGGTTCAACTCTGTGAGTTGAATGCCAACATCACGAATAAGTTTCTGAGAATTCTTCTGTTTAGTTATGTGAGGTATATCCCGTTTCCAATGAAATCCTCAGAGAAGTCCAAGTACCCACTTGCAGATTCCACAAAAAGTGTGTTTCGAAACTGCTCCATCCAAAGCAATGTTCAGCTCTGTGGGTTGAACTCAATCGTCACAAAGTGTTTCCTGAGAATGCTACGGTCTAGTTTTTATGGGCAGTGATTTCCTCTACTGCCATAGGCCTCAAAGCGGTCCAAATCTCCCCTTGCAGATCCTACCAAAAGTGTGTTTCCAAACGGCTCTATCAAAGGGAATGTTCAACTCTGTGAGTTGAAAGCAACCATCACAAAGTAGTTTCTGAGAATGCTTCCATCTACCTTTTATGAGTAGATATTTCCTTTTCCACCACAGGCCTCGAAGCCCTCCAAATGTCCACTTACAGATTCTAGAAAGAGAGGGTTTCAAAGCTGCTCTATCGAAAGGAAAGTATAACTCTGTGAGTTGAATGCAAACATCACAAAGAAGTCTCTGAGCATGCTTCCGTTTAGCTTTTATGGGAAGATTATCCCTTTTCCATCGAAATCTTCAAAGAGGTCCAAATATCCGCTTGCAGTTCCCACCGAAAGAGTGTTTCCAAACTGCTGTGTCAAAAGGAACCTTCAACTCCGTGAGTTGAATGCAATCATCACAAAGAAGTTTCTGACAATGCTTCTCTCTAGTTTTTAGCTGAAGATATTTCCTTTTCCACCACAGGCCTGAAAGCGCTCCAAATGTCCACTTGGAGACTCTACGAAAAGAATGTTTCAAAACTGCTCTATGAAAAGCAAGGTTACACTCTGGGAGTTGAACACATGCCTCACAAAGAAGTTTCTGAGACGGCGTCTCTTTACTCTTTATGTGAAGATATTCCCGTTTGCAAATAAATCTTCACAGAGTTCCACCTATCCATAAGCAGGTTCTAGAAAAAAGAGAATTTCGAAACTGCTCTATCCAAAGGAATGTTCAACTCTGTGAGTTGAATGCAATCATCACAGAGAAGTTTCTGAGAAGGCTTCTGTCTGGATTTTATGTGAAGATATACCCGTTTCGAACGAGGGCCACAAATTGCTCCAAATATCCACTTGCAGATCCTACAAAAAGAGTGTTTCAAACGTGAACTATCAAAGGAAGTTTCAACTCTGGACTTTGAATGCAAACGTCAGAAAGAAGTTTCTGCGAAAGCTTCTGTTCAGTTAGGTGACGTTATCCCTTTTCCAACGAAATCCTCAGGGAGGTCCAACTATCCACTTGCAGATTCTACAAAAAGTGTGTTTCAAAACTGCTCCATCCAAAGGAATGTTCAGCTCTGTGGGTTCAACTCAATCATCACAAAGTATTTTCTGAGAATGCTTCTGTCCAGTTTTTACACGAAGCTATTTCCTTTACTACCTTAGGCCTCAAAGCGTTCCAAATCTCCACTTGCAGATACTACGAAAAGAGTGTTTCAACCTGAACTCACAAGGGAAGGTTCAACTCTGTGAGTTGAATGTCAACATTACGAAGAATTTTCTGAGAATGCTTCTGTTTAGTTATGTGAAGTTTATCCCTTTCCAACGAAATCCTCAGAGAAGCCCAAATACCCACTTGCAGATTCCACAAAAAGTGTGTTTCGAAACTGCTCCATCCAAAGCAATGTTCAGCTCTGTGGGTTGAACTCAATCGTCACAAAGTGTTTTCTGAGAATGCTACTGTCTAGTTTTTATGTGCAGTGATTTCCTCTACTGCCTTAGGCCTCAAAGCGGTCCAAATCTCCCCTTGCTGATTCTACCAAAAGTTGGTTTCCAAACGGCTCTTTCAAACGGAATGTTCAACTCTGTGACTTGAAAGCGGTCATCACAAAGTAGTTTCTGAGAATGCTTCCATCTAGCTTTTATGAGTAGATATTTCCTTTTCCACCACAGGCCTCGAAGCCCTCCAAATGTCGACTTGCAGATTCTAGAAAGAGAGGTTTTCAAAGCTGCTCTATCGAAAGGAAAGTACAACTCTGTGAGTTGAATGCAAACATCACAAAGAAGTCTCTGAGCATGCTTCCGTTTAGCTTTTATGGTAAGATTATACCTTTTCCATCGAAATCTTCACAGAGGGCCAAATATCCGCTTGCAGATCCCACTGAAAGAGTGTTTCCAAACTTCTGTATCAAAAGGAATCTTGAACTCCGTGAGTTGAATGCAATCATCACAAAGAAGTTTCTGACAATGCTTCTGTCTTGTTTTTGTGTGAAGATATTTCATTTTCCAACATAGGCTTCAAATCGCTCCAAATATCTGGTTGCAGTTTCTTCAAAAATACTGTTTCAAAACTGCTAACTCAAAAGGAAGGTTTATTTCCGTGAGTTAAATGCATAGATCACAAAGTGTTTTCTGAGGACCCCTCTGCCTAGTTTTATGTGAAGATGTTTCCTTTTCCACCATAGGCCTTAAAGCGCCACAAGTGAACACTTGCTGATACTAGGAAAAGAGTGTTTCAAAACTGCTCTTTCTAAAGAAGTGTTCAACTCTCTGAGTTGAATTCACACATCACAAAGGAGTTTCTGAGAATGCTTCTGTCTAGGTTTTATTTGAAGATATCTCGTTTCCAAAGAGATCCTCCTAGATCCCCAAATATCCACAAGCAGATCCTTCAAAAGTAGTGTTTCAGTACTTCTCTATCAAAAGAAATGTTCAACTCTGTGAGGTGAATGCCCACATCACAAAGCAGTTTCTGAGAATGCTTCTGTCAAGCTTTTATGTGAAGATATTTCCTTTTCCACCATACCCCTGAAATCGCTCCAAATATCCACTTAGAGATCCTACAAGGAGACTCTTTCAAAACACCTTTCCCAACAGGAAGGTTCAGCTATGTGAGTTGAATTCACACATCACAAGGAAGTTCCTGAGAATTCTTCTGTCTAGTTTTTCTGTGAAGAGATTTCCTTTTCCAACATAGGCTTCAAAATACTCCAAATATCCACTTGCAGATTCTACAAAAAGACAGTTTCAAAAACTGCTCTCTCAAAAGGATGGTTCAACTCTGTGGGTTGAATGCATACATCACAAAGACGTTTCTGAGAATGCTCCTGCCTAGTTTTTATGTGAAGATGTTTCCTTTTGCACCATAGGCCTCAAGGCACTCCGAATGAACACTTGCAGATATTAGAAAAAGAGTGTTTCAACACTGTTCTTTCTAAAGAAGTTTTCAACTCACTGAGTTGAATACACACATCACAAAGCAGTTTCTGAGAATGCTTCTCTTGAGTTTTGATTATAAGATATCTCATTTCCAAGGAAATCCTCAAATTGCTCCATATATCCACAAGCAGATTCTACAAAAATAGTGTTTCAGTACTGCTCTATGAAAAGATATATTCAACTCTGGGAGTTGAATGCACACATCTCAAACAAGGTCCTGAGAATGCTTCTGTCTTGTTTTTCTGTGAAGATATTTCCTTTTCCAACATAGGCTTCAAATCGCTCCAAATATCCACTTGCACTTTCTTCAAAAAGACTGTTTCAAAACTGCTATCTCAAAAGGAAGGTTAAATTCCGTAAGTTGAATGCATAGATCACAAAGTGGTTCTGAGAATGCCTCTGCCTAGTTTTTATGTGAAGATGTTTCCTTTTCCACCGTAGGCCTCAAAGCACTGTAAGTGAACACTTGGAGATACTAAGAAAAGAGTGTTTCAAAACTGCTCTTTCTAAAGAATTGTTCAACTCTCTGAGTTGAATTCACACATCAATAAGCAGTTTCTAAGAATGCTTCTGTCTAGTTTTTATTTGAAGTTATCTCGTTTCCAACGAAATCCTCCAAGAGCTAAAAATATACACAAGCAGATCCTTCAAAAGTAGTGTTTCAGTACTGCCCTATCAAAAGAAATGTTCAACTCTGTCAGTTGAATGGACACATCACAAACAAGGTCCTGAGAATGCTTCTGTCTAGTTTTTCTGTGAAGATATTTCCTTTGCCAACATAGGCTTCAAATAGCTCCAAATATCCACTTGCAGATTCTATAAAAAGACTGTTTCAAATCTGCTCTCTCCAAAGAAAGGTTCAACTTCGTGTGTTGAATGCATGCATCACAAAGAAGTCTCTGAGAATACTTCTGACTAGTTTTTATGTGAAGATGTTTCGTTTTCCACCATAGGCCTCAAAGCGCACTAAATGAACACTTTCAGATACTAGAAAAGCAGTGTTTCAAAACTGCTCTTTCTAAAATAGTTTTCAACTCTCTGAGTTGTATTCACACATCACAAAGCAGTTTCAGAGAATGCTTCTGTCTAGTTTTTATTTGAAGATACCTCGTTCCCAACGAAATCCTCAAACAGCCCCAAATATCCACAAGCAGATCTTTCAAAAGTAGTGTTTCAGTACTCGTCTATCAAAAGAAATATGCAACTCTGTGAGGGGAATACACACATCACAAAGCAGTTTCTGAGAATGCTTCTGTCAAGCTTTTATGTGAACATATTTCCTTTTCCACCATACGCCTGAAATCGCACCAAATATCCACTTGCAGATCCTACAAGTAGACTGTTTCAAAACACCTCTCTTAACAGGAAGGTTCAGCTCTGTGAGGTGAATGCACACATCACAAACAAGTTCCTGAGATTGCTTCTGTCTAGTTTTTCTGTGAAGAGATTTCTTTTTCCAACATAGGCTGCAATTCTCTCCATATATCCACTTGCAGATTCTACAAAAAGACTCTTTCAAAGCTGATCTCTCAAGTGGAAGGTTCAACTTTGTGAGTTGAATGCATACATCACAAAGAAGTTTCTGAGAATGCTTCTGCCTAGTTTTTATGTGAAGATGTTTCCTTTTCCAGCATAGGCCTCAAAGTGCCAAAAATGAACTCTTGCAGATTTTAAAAAGAGTGTTTCAAAACTGCTCTTTTTAAAGATGTGCTCACCCTTCTGAGTTGAATTCACACATCACAATGCAGTTTCTGAGAATGCTTCTCTGTAGTTTTTAATTGAAGGTGTCTCATTTCCAACGAAATCCTCAAACAGCCCCAAATATCCACAAGCAGATCTTTCAAAAGTAGTGTTTCAGTACTGCTCTATGAAAAGAAATGTTCAACTCTGTGAGTTGAATTAACACATCACAAAGCAGTTTCTGAGAATGCTTCTGTCAAGCTTTTATGTGAAGATATTTCCTTTTCCACAATACTCCTGAAATCGCTCCAAATATCCACTTGCAGATTCTACAAGGAAACTGTTTCAGAACAACTCTCCCAACAGGAAGGTTCAGCTCTGTGAGTTGAATGCACACATCACAAACAAGTTCCTGAGAATGCTTCTGTCTAGTTTTTCTGTGTAGAGATTTCCTTTTCCAACGTATTCTTCAAATCGCTCCAAATATCCACTTGCAGTTTCTTGAAAAAGACTGTTTCAAAACTGCTCTCTCAAAAGGAAGGTTCAACTCCATGAGCTAAATGCGTACATCACAAAGAAGTTTCTGAGAATGATTCTGCCTGGTTTTTATGTGAAGATGTTTCCTTTTCCACCACAGGCCTCAAAGCACTCCAAATGAACACTTGCAGATTCTAGAAAGAGAGTGTTTCAAAACTGCTCTTTCTACAGAATTGTTCAACTCTCTGAGTTGAATTCACACATCACAAAGCAGTTTCTGAGAATGTTTCTGTCTAGTTTTTATTTGAAGATATATCAATTTCAACGAAATCCTCCAACAGCTCCAAATATCCACAAGCAGATCCTTCAAAAGATGTGTTTCAGTACTGCTCTACCAAAACAAATGTTCAACACTCTGAGTTGAATGCACACATCACGAAGCAGTTTCTGAGAATGCCTCTGTCAAGCTTTTTTGTGAAGACATTTCATTTTCCACCATATGCCTGAAATCTCTCCAAATATCCACTTGCAGATCCTACAAACACACTGTTTCAAAACAGCTCCCTCAACAGGAAGGTTCAGGTCTGTGAGTTGAATGCATACATCACAAACAAGTTCCTGAGAATGCTTCTGTCTAGTTTTTCTGTGAAGAGATTTCTTTTTCCAAAATAGGCTTCAAATCGCTCCATATATCCGCTTACAGATTCTACAAAAAGACTCTTTCAAAACTGCTCTCTCAAGAGAAAGGTTCAACTCCGTGAGTTGAATGCATACATCACAAAGGAGTTTCTGAGAACGCTTCTGCCTAGTTTTTATGTGAAGATGTTTCCTTTTCCACCGTAGGCCTCAAAGTGCTACAAATGAACTCTTGCAGATTCTAGAAAAAGTGTTTCAAAACTGCGCTTTCTAAAGAAGTGTTCACCACTCTGAGTTGAATTCACACATCACAATGCAGTTTCTGAGAATGCTTCTCTGAAGATTTTAATTGAAAATGTCTCGTTTCCGACGAAATCCTCAAACAGCTCCAAGTATCCTGAAGCAGATTCTACAAAAGTAGTGTTTCAGTACTGCTATATCAAAAGAAATGTTCAACTCTGTGTGTTGAATGCACACATCGCAAACAAGGTCCTGAGAATGCTTCTGTCTATTTTTTCTGTGAAGATATTTCCTTTTCCAACATAGTCTTCAATTCGCTCCAAAAGTCCACTTGCAGTTTCTTCAAAAAGACTGTTTCAAAACTGCTCCTGAAAAGAAAGGTTGAACTCCATGAGTTGAATGCATACATCACAAAGAAGTTTCTGAGAATGCTTCTGCCTAGTTTTTATGTGAAGATGTTTCCTTTTCCACCATAGGCCTCAAAGTGCCCCAAAAGAACACTTTCAGGTTCCAGAAAAAGAGTGTTTCAAAACTGCTCTTTCTAAAGAAGTGTTCAACTCTCTGAGTTGATTTCACACATCACAAAGCAGTTTCTGAGAATGCTTCTCTGTAGTTTTGATTAAAAGATATCTCGTTTCCAACGAAATCCTCAAACAGCTCCAGGTATCCACAAGCAGATTCTACAAAAGTATTGTTTCAGTACTGCTCTATCAAAAGAAATTTTCAACTCTGTGAGTTGAATGCACACATCACAAACAAGTTCCTGAGAATGCTTCTGTCTAGTTTTTCTGTGAAGATATTTCCTTTTACAACACAGGCCTCAAATCTCTCCAAATATCCACTTGCAGACTCTACAAAAAGACTTTTTCAAAACTGCCCTCTCAAAAGGAAGGTTCAACTCTGTGAGGTGAATGCATACATCAAAAAGAAGTTTCTGGGAATGCTTCTTTCTAGTTTTTATGTGAAGATGTTTTCTTTTCCACCATAGGCCTCCAAGCGCTCTAAGTGAAGACTTGCGGATTCCAGAAAGAGTGTTTCAAAACTGCTTTTTCTAAAGAAGTGTTCAACTCTCTGAGTTGAATTCACACATCACAATGCAGTTTCTGAGAATGCTTCTCTGTAGTTTTTATTTGAAGATGTCTCCTTTACAATGAAATCCTCGAACCACTCCAAATATCCACAAGCAGATTCTACAAAAGTAGTGTTCCAGTACTGCTCTATCAAAAGAAATATTCAACTCTGTGAGTTGAATGCACACATCTCAAACTAGTTCCTGAGAATGTTTCGGTCTAGTTTTTCTGTGAAGGTATTTCCTTTTCCAATATAGGCTTCAAATCGCTCCAAATATCCACTTTCAGTTTCTTCAAAAAGACTGTTTCAAATCTGCTCTCTCAAAAGCATGGTTCAACTCGTTCAGTTGAATGCATACATCCCAAAGAAGTTTCTGAGAATGCTTTTGCCTAGTTTTTTTGTGAAGATGATTCCTTTTCCACCATAGGCCTCAAAGCACTTCAAATGAACACTTGCAGATTGTAGAAAGAGTGTTTCAAATCTGCTCTTTCTAAAGAAGTGTTCAACAGTCTGAGTTGTATTCACACATCACAATGCAGATTCTGAGAATGCCTGTCTAGTTTTTATTTGAAGATATCTCGTTTCCAAAGAAATCCTCAAACAGCTCCAAATATCCACCAGCAGATTCCACAAAAGTAGTGTTTCAGTACTGCTCTATCAAAAGAAATGTTCAACTCTGTGATTTTAATGCACACATCTCAAACTAGTTCTTGAGAATGCTTCTGTCTAATTTTTCTGTGAAGATATTTCATTTTCCAACATAGGCATCAAATCCCTCCAAATATCCACTTGCAGATTCTATAAAAAGACTGTTTCAAAACTGCTCTCTCAAAAGGAAGGTGCAACTTGGTGAGGTGAATTCATACATCACAAAGAAGTTTCTGAGAGTGCTTCTGCCTAGTTTTTATGTGGGAATGTTTCGTTTTCCACCATGGGCCGCAAAGTGCTCCAAATGAACACTTTCAGATACTAGAAAAAGAGTGTTTCAAAACTGGTCTTTCTAAAGAAGTGTTCAACTCACTGAGTTGAATTCACACATCACAAAGCAGTTTCTGAGAATTCTTCTGTCTAGTTTTTATTTGAAGATACCTCGTTCCCAACGAAATCCTCAAACAGCCCCAAATATCCACAAGCAGATCTTTCAAAAGTAGTGTTTCAGTACTGCTCTATCAAAAGAAATGTTCAACTCTGTGAGTGGAATGCACACATCACAAAGAAGTTTCTGAGAATGCTTCTGTCAAGCTTTTATGTGAACATATTTCCTTTTCCACCATACGCCTGAAATCGCACCAAATATCCACTTGCAGATCCTACAAGTAGACTGTTTCAAAACACCTCTCTTAACAGGAATGTTCAGCTCTGTGAGTTGAATGCACACATCACAAACAAGTTCCTGAGAATGTTTCTGTCTAGTTTTTCTGTGAAGAGATTTCTTTTTCCAACATAGGCTGCAAATCGCTCCATATATCCACTTGCAGATTCTACAGAAAGATTTTCAAAACTGCTGTCTCAAGAGGAAGGCTCAACTCTGTTAGTTTAATGCATACGTCACAAAGGAGTTTCTGAGAATGCTTCTGCCTAGTGTTTATGTGAAGATATATCCTTTTCCATCATAGGCCTCAAAGCGCTACAAATGAACTCTTGCAGATTCTAGAAAGAGTGTTTCAAAACTGCTCTTTCTAAAGAAGTGTTCAACTCTCTGAGTTGAATTCACACATCACAATGTAGTTTCTGAGAATGCTTCTCTGTAGTTTTTAATTGAAGATGTCTTATTTCCAACGAAATCCTCAAACAGCTCCAAGTATCCTGAAGCAGATTCTACAACAGTAGTGTTTCATTACTGCTATATGAAAAGAAATGTTGAACTCTGTGAGTTGAATCCATACATCTCAAACAAGGTCCTGAGAATGCTTCTGTATGGTTTTTCTGTGAAGATATTTCCTTTTCCAACATAGTCTTCAATTCGCTCCAAATATCCACTTGCAGTTTCTTCAAAAAGACTGTTTCAAAACTGCTCTCTCAAAAGGAAGGTTCAACTCCGTGAGTTGAATGCATACATCACAAAGAAGTTTCTGAAAATGCTTCTGCCTAGTTTTTATTTGAAGATGTTTCTTTTCCACCATAGGCCTCAAAGCACTCCAAGTGAACACTTGCAGATAATAAAAAGAGTGTTCCAAAACTGCTCTTTCTAAAGAAGTGTTCAACTATCTGAGTAGAATTCACACATCACAAAGCAGTTTCTGAGAATGCTTCTCTGTAGTTTTGATTAGAAGATACCTCGGTTCCAACGAAATCCTCAAACAGCTCCAAATATCCAAAAGCAGATTCTAAAAAAGTAGTTTTTAAGTACTGCTCTATCAAAAGAAATGTTCAACACTGTGAGTTGAATGCACACATCACAAACAAGTTCCTGAGAATGCTTCTGTCTCGTTTTTCTGTGAAGATATTTCCTTCTACAACACAGGCTTCAAATCGCATGAAATATCCACTTGCAGACCCTACAAAAGACTCTTTCAAAAATGTCCTCTCAAAAGGAAGGTTCAACTCTGTGAGTTGAATGCATACATCACAAAGAAGTTTATGGGAATGCTTCTGCCTAGTTTTTATGTGAAGATGTTTCCTTTTCCACCATAGGCCTCAAAGCGCTACAAATGAACTCTTGCAGATTCTAGAAAGAGTGTTTCAAAACTGCTCTTTCTAAAGAAGTGTTCACATCTCTGAGTTGAATTCACACATCACAATGCAGTTTCTGAGAATGCTTCTCTGTAGTTTTTAATTGAAGATGTCTCGTTTCCAATGAAATACTCAAACAGCTCCAAATATCCACAAGCAGATTCTACAAAAGTAGTGTTTCAGTACTGCTCTATCAAAAGAAATGTTCAACTCTGTGAGATGAATGCACACATCTCAAACAAGGTCCTGAGAATGCTTCTGTCTAGTTTTTCTGTGAAGAGATTTCCTTTTCCAACATAGGCTTCAATTCGCTCCAAATACCCACTTGCAGTTTCTTCAAAAAGACTGTTTCAAAACTGCTCTCTCAAAAGGAAGGTTCAACTCCGTGAGTTGAATGCATACATCACAAAGAAGTTTCTGAGAATGCTTCTGCCTAGTTTTTATGTGAAGATGTTTCCTTTTCCACCATAGGCCTCAAAGCGCTCCAAGTGAACACTTGCACATACTAAAAAAAGAGTGTTTCAAAACTGCTCTTTCTAAAGAAGTGCTCAACTCTCTGAGTTGAATTCACATATCAAAAAGCAGTTTCTGTGAATGCTTCTGTCTAGTTTTTATTTCAAGATATATCTTTTCCAACTAAATCCTCCAACAGCTCCAAATGTCCACAATCAGATCCTTCAAAAGTAGTGTTTCAGTACTGCTGTATCAAAAAAAGTTAAACTCTGTGAGTTGAATGGATACATCACGAAGCAGTTTCTGAGAATGCTTCTGTCTAGCTTTTTTGTGAAGATATTTCCTTTTCAACCATACGCCTTAAATCGCTCCAAATATCCATTTGCAGATCCTATAAAGACAATGTTTCAAAACAGCACTCTTAACAGGAAGGTTCAGGTCTGTGAGTTGAATGCACACATCACAAACAAGGTCCTGAGAATGCTTCTATCTAGTTTTTCTGTGAAGAGATTTCCTTTCCCAACATAGGCTTCGAATCGCTCCAAATATCCACTTGCAGATTCTACAAAAGGACTGTTTCAAAACTGCTCTCTCAAAAGGAAGGTTCAACTCTGTGAGTTGAATGCATACATCACAAAGAAGTTTCTGAGAATGCTTCTGCCTAGTTTTTATGTGAAGAAGTTTCGATTTCCACAATAGGCTTCAAAGCGCTCCAAATGAATACTTTCAGATAATAGAAAAAGAGTGTTTCAAAACTTCTCTTTCTAAAGAAGTGTTCAACTCTCTGAGTTGAATTCACACATCACAAAGCAGTTTCTGAGAATGCTTCTCTGTAGTTTTGATTAGAAGATATCTCGTTTCCAACGAAATCCTCAAACAGCTCCAAATATCCACAAGCAGATTCTACAAAAGTAGTGTTCCAGTACTGCTCTATCAAAAGAAATGTTCAACTCTGTGAGTTGAATGCACACATCACAAACAAGTTCCTGAGAATGCTTCTGTCTAGTTTTTCTATGAAAATATTTCCTTTTACAACACAGGCTTCAAATCGCTCCAAATATGCACTTTCAATTTCTTCAAAAAGACTGTTTCAAATCTGCTCTCTCAAAAGGATGGTTCAACTCTGTGAGTTGAATGCATACATCACAAAGAAGTTTCTGAGAATGCGTCTGCCTAGTTTTTATGTGAAGATGTATCCTTTTCCACCATAGGCCTCAAAGCGCTCCAAATGAACACTTGCGGATTCCAGAAAAAGAGTGTTTCAAAACTGCTCTTTTTGAATAACTTTTCAACTCTCTGAGTTGAATTCACACATCACAAAGCAGTTTCTGAGAATGCTTCTCTGTAGTTTTTAATTGAAGGTGTCTCATTTCCAACGAAATCCTCAAACAGCCCCAAATATCCACAAGCAGATCTTTCAAAAGTAGTGTTTCAGTACTGCTCTATGAAAAGAAATGTTCAACTCTGTGAGGTGAATTAACACATCACAAAGCAGTTTCTGAGAATGCTTCTGTCTAGTTTTTATTTGAAGATATCTCCTTTCCAACGAAATCCTCCAACAGCTCCAAATATCCAAAGGAGATCGTTCAAAAGTAGTGTTTCAGTACTGCTCTATCAAAAGAAATATGTTCAACTCTGTGAGTTGAATGCACACATCATGAAGCAGTTTCTGAGAATGCTTCTGTAAAGCGTTTTTGTGAAGATATTTCCTTTTCCACCATACGCCTGATATCGCTCCAAATATCCACTTGCAGATCCTAGAAAGAAACTGTTTCAAAACAGCTCCCTCAACAGGAAGGTTCAGGTCTGTGAGTTGAATGCACACATCGCAAACAAGTTCCTGAGAATACTTCTGTCTAGTTTTTCTGTGAAGAGATTTCCTTATCCCAACATAGGCTTCAAATCACTCCAAATATCCACTTGCAGATTCCAGAAAGGGACTGTTTCAAAACTGCTCTCTCAAAAGGAAGGTTCAACTCTGTGAGTTGAATGCATACATCACAAAGAAGTTTCTGACAATGCTTCTGCCTAGTTTTTATGTGAAGATGTTTCCTTTTCCACCATAGGCCTCAAAGCGCTCCAAATGAACACTTGCAGATATTAGAAAAAGAGTGTTTCAAAACTCCTCTTTATAAAGAATTTTTCAACTCACTGAGTTGAATTCACACATCACGAAGCAGTTTCTGAGATGCTCCTCTTTAGTTTTGATTAGGAGATATCTCGTTTCCAATGAAATCCTCCAACAGCTCCAAATATCCACAAGCAGATTCTACAAAAGTAGTGTTTCAGTACTGCTCTATCAAAAGAAATGTTGAACTCTGTGATTTGAATGCACACATCCCAAACTAGTTCCTAAGAATGCTTCTGTCTACTTTTTCTGTGAAGACATTTCATTTTCCAACACAGTCTTCAAATCACTCCAAATATCCACTTGCAGTTTCTTCAGAAAGACTGTTTGAAAACTGCTCTCTCAAAAGGAAGGTTCAACTCCGTGAGTTGAATGCATACCTCACAAACAAGTTTCTGAGAATGCTTCTGCCTAGTTTTTATGGGAAGATATTTCCTTTTCCCCCATAGGCCTCAAAGTGCTCCAAATGAACACTTGCAAATTGTAGAAAGAGTGTTTCAAAACTGCTCTTTCTAAAGAAGTGTTCAACTGTCTGAGTTGTATTCACACATCACAATGCAGTTTCTGAGAATGCTTCTCTGTAACTTTTATTTGAAGATATCTCATTTCCAAAGAAATCCTCAAACAACTCCAAATATCCACCAGCAGATTCCACAAAAGTAGTGTTTCAGTACTGCTCTATCAAAAGTAATGTTCAACTCTGTGAGTTGAATGCACACATCTCAAACTAGCTCCTGAGAATGCTTCTTGTCTACTTTTTCTGTGAAGAGATTTCCTTTTACAACATAGGCTTAAAATCGCTCCAAATATCCACACGCAGATCCTACAAAAAGACTGTTTCAAAACTGCGCTCTGAAAAGGAAGATTCAACTCAGTGAGTTGAATGCATACATCATATAGAAGTTCCTGAGAATGCTTCTGCCTAGTTTTTTTGTGAAGATGTTCTTTTTCTACCATAGGCCTCAAAGCGCTCCAAAGGTACCCTTGCAGATAGTAGAAAAGAGTGTTTCAAAACTGCTCTTTCTAAAGAAGGGTTCAACTCTCTGAGTTGAATTAACACATCACAAAGCAGTTTCTTAGAATGCTTCTGTGTAGTTTTTCTTTGAAGGTATCTCGTTTCCAATGAAATCCTCAAACAGCCCCAATATAAACAAGCAGATTCTACAAAAGTAGTGTTTCAGTACTGCTCTATCAAAAGAAATGTTCAACTCTGTGAGTTGAATGCACACATCACAAAGCAGTTTCTGAGAATGCTTCTGTCAAGCTTTTATGTGAAGATGTTTCCTTTTCCACCATACGTGTGAAATCCCTCCAAATATCCACTAACAGATCCTACAAGGAGACTGTTTCAAAACACCTCTCTCAACAGGAAGGTTCTGCTCTGTGAGTTGAATGTACACATCACAAACAAGTTCCTCAGAATGCTTCTGTCTAGTTTTTCTGTGAAGACAATTCCTTTTCCAACATAGGCTTCAAATCGCTCCAAATATCCACTTGCAGATTCTCCAAAAAGAAGTTTCAAATCTTCTCTCTCAAAAGGAAGGTTCAACTCTGTGAGTTGAATGCATACATCACAAAGAAGTTTCTGAGAACGCTTCTACCAAGTTTTAATGTGAAATTGTTTCATTTTCCACCATAGGCCTCAAAGCACTCCAAATGAACACTTGCAGATATTGGAAAAAGAGTGTTTCAAAACTGCTCTCTCTAAAGAAGTGTTCAACTCTCTGAGTTGAATTCACACATCACAAAGCAGTTTCTGAGAATGCTTCTGTCTAATTTTTATTTGAAGATATCTCATTTCCAATGAAATCCTCAAACATCCTCAAATATCCACAAGCAGATACTTCAAAAGTAGTGTTTCAGTACCGCTCTATCAACAGAAATTTTCAACTCTGTGATTTGAATGCAACATCACAAAGCAGTTTCTGAGAATGCTTCTGTCAAGCATTATTTTGAAGATATTTCCTGTTCCACCATATGCCTGAAATCGCTCCGAATATCCACTTGGAGATCCTACAAAGAGACTGTTTCAAAACAGCTCTCTCAACAGGAAGGTTCAGCTCTGTGAGTTGAATACACAGATCACAAACAAGATCCTGAGAATGCTTCTTTCTAGTTTTTCTGTGAAAAGATTTTCTTTTCCAACATATGCTTCAAATCCCTCCAAATATCCACTTGCTGATTCTACGAAAAGACTGTTTCAAAACTGCTCTCTCAAAAGAAAGTTTCAACTCTGTGAGATGAATGCATACATCACAAAGTAGTTTCTGAGAATGCTTCTGCCTAGTTTTTATGTGAAGTTGCTTCCTTTTCCACCATAGGCCTCAAAGCACTCCAAATGAAAACTTGCAGATTCTAGAAAGAGTGTTTCAAAACTGCTCTTTCTAAAGAAATGTTCAACACTCTGAGTTGAATTCACACATCACATTGCAGTGTCTGAGAATGCTTCTCTGTAGTTTATATTTGAAGATGTTTTGTTTCCAACGAAATCCACAAAGAGCTCCAAAAATCCAGAAGCAGATTCTACAAAAGTAGTGTTGCAGTACTGCTCTATCAAAAGAAATGTTCAGCTCTTTGAGTTGAATGGACACATCCCAAACAAGTTCCTGAGAATGCTTCTGTCTAGTTTTCTGTGAAGATATTTCATTTTCCAACATAGGCTTCAGATCGCTCCAAATATCCATTTGCAGATTCTCCAAAAAGACTGTTTCCAAACTGCTCTCTCAAAAGGAATGTTCAACTCCGTGAGTTGAATGCATACATCAGAAAGAAGTTTCTGAGAATACGTCTGCCTAGTTTTTTTGTGAAGATGTTTCGTTTTCCACCATAGGCCTCAAAGCGCTCCAAATGAACACTTTCATATAGTAGAAAAAGAGGGTCTCAAAACTGCTCTTTCTAAAGAAGTTTTCAACACTCTGAGTTGAATTCACACATCACAAAGCAGTTTTTGAGAATGCTTCTGTCTAGTCTTTATTTGAAGATAACTCGTTTCCAACGAAATCCTCAAACAGCCCCAAATATCCACAAGCAGATTCTTCAAAAGTGGTGTTTCAGTACTGCTCTATAGATAGAAATGTTCAACTCTGTAAGTTGGATGAACACATCACAAAGCAGTTTCTGAGAATGCTTCTGTCAAGCTTTTATGTGAAGATATCTCCGTTTCCACAATACTCCTGAAATCGCTCCAAATAGTCACTTGAAGATCCTACAAAGAGACTGTTTCAAAACAGCTCTCTCAACAGGAAGGTTCACCTCTGTGAGTTGAATGCACACATCACAAACTAGTTCCTGAGAATGCTTCTGTCTAGTTTTTCTATGAAGATATTTCCTTTTCAAACATATGCTTCAAATCGCTCCAAATATTCACTTGCTGATTCTACTAAAAAGACTGTTTCAAAACTGCTCTCTCAAAAGGAAGGTTCAACTCCGTGAGTTGAATGCATACATCACAAAGAAGTTTCTGAGAATGCTTCTGCATAGTTTTTACGTGTAGATGTTTCCTTTTCCACCATAGGCCTCAAAGCGCTCCAAATGAACACTTGCAGATTATAGAAAAAGAGTGTTTCATAACTGCTTTTTCTAAAGAAGTGTTCCATTCTCTGAGTTGAATTCGCACATCACAAAGAAGTTTCTGAGAATGCTTCTGTTAAGTTTTTATTTGAAGATATCTCGTTTCCATCGAAATCCTCAAACAGCTCCAAATATCCACAAGCAGATTCTTCAAAAGTAGTGTTTCAGTACTGCTCTATCAAAAGAAATGTTCAACTCTGTGAGTTGACTGCACACGTCACAAAGGAGTTTCTGAGAATGCTTCTGTCAAGATTTTATGTGAAGATATTTCCTTTTCCACCCTTGGCCTGAAATCGTTCCAAATATCCACTTGCAGATCCTAAAAAGAGACTGTTTCAAAACAGCTCTCTCAACAGGAAGGTTCAGCTCTGTGAGTTGAATTCACACATCCCAAACACGTTCCTGAGAATGCTTCTGTCTAGTTTTTCTGTGAAGATATTTTCTTTTCCAATATAGGCTTCAGATCGCTCCAAATATCCACTTGCAGATTCTACAAAAGATTGTTTCAAAACTGCTCTCTCAAAAGGAAGGATCAACGTTGTGAGTTGAATGCATTCATCACAAAGAAATTTCTGAGAATGCTTCTGCCTAGTTTTTATGTCAAGATGTTCCCTTTTCCACCATAGGCCTCAAACTGCTCCAAATGAACACTTTCAGATACTAGAAAAAGAGTGTTTCAAAACTGTTCTATCTGAAGAACTCTTCAACTCACTGAGTTGAATTCACACATCACAATGTAGTTTCTGAGAATGCTTCTCTGTAGTTTTTATTTGAAGATATCTCGTTTACAACGAAATCCTCAAACAACTCCAAATATCCACAAGCAGATTCTACAAAAGTAGTGTTTCAGTATGACTCTATCAAAGGAAATGTTCAACACTGTGAGTTGAATTCACACATCTCAAACAAGTTCCTGAGAATGCTTATGTCTAGTTTTTCTGAGAAGATAATTCCTTTTCCAACATACTCTTCAAATCGCTCCAAATATCCACTTGAAGATTCTCGAAAAAGACTGTTTCAAAACTTCTCTCTCAAAAGGAAGGTTCAACTCCGTGAGTTTAATGCATACATCACAAAGAAGTTTCTGAGAATGTTTCTGCCTAGTTTTTATGTGAAGATGTTTCCTTTTCCACCATTGGCCTCAAAGCACTCCAAATGAACAATTGCAGATTCTAGAAAAAGAGTGTTTCAAAACTACTCTGTCTAAAGAAGTGTTCAACATTCTGAGTTGAATTAAAACATCACTAAGCAGTTTCTGAGAATGCTTCTGTCTAGTTTTTATTGGAAGATATCTCGTTACCAACGAAATCCTCAAAGAGCTGCAAATATATACAAGCAGATTCTACAAAAGTAGTGTTTCAGTACTGCTCTATCAAAAGAAATGTTCAACGCTGTGAGTTGAATGCACACATCTCAAACAAGTTCCTGAGAATGATTCTGTCTAATTTTTCTATGAAGATTTTTACTTTTCCAACATAGGCTTCAAATCACCCCAAATATCCACTTGCAGATTCTACAAAAAGACTGTTTCATAACTGTTCTCTCAAAAGGAAGGTTCAACTCAGTTAGTTGAAAGAATACATCATAAAGAAGTTTCTGAGAATGCTTCTGCCTAGTTTTTATGTGAAGATGCTTCCTTTTCCAACATAGGCCTCAAAGCGCTCCAAATGAACACTTGCAGATTCTATAAAAAGAATGTTTGAAAACTGCTCTGTCTAAAGAAGTGTTGAACTCTCTGATTTGAATTCACTCTTCACAAAGCAGTTTCAGAGAATGCTTCTATCTCATTTTTATTTGAAGATATCTCGTTTCCAACAAAATCCTCAAACAGCACCAAATATCCAGAAGCAGATTCTACAAAAGTAGTGTTTCAGTACTCCTTTATCAAAAGAAATGTTCAAATCTGTGAGTTGAATGCACACATCTCAAACGAGTTCCTGAGAATTCTTCTGTCTAGTTTTTCTGTGAAGATATTTCCTTTCCCAATGTAGGCTTTAAATCGCTACAAATATCCACTTGCAGATTCTACAAAAAGTCTGATTCAAAACTGCTCCCTCAAAAGGATGGTTCAACTCTGTGAATTGAATGCACACATCACAAAGAAGTTCCTGAGACTGCTTCTGTACAATTTTTCTGTGAAGACATATCCTTTTCCAACATAGACTTCAAATCACTCCAAATGTCTACTTGCAGATTCTACAAAAAGCCTGGTTCAAAACTGCTCTCTCAAAAGGAAAGTTCAACTCTGTGAGTTGAATGCATACATCAAAAAGATGTTTCTGAGAATGCTTCTGCCTAGTTTTTATGTGAAGTTGTTTTCTTTTCCACCATAGGTCTCAAAGTGCTCCAAATGAACACTTGCAGATTCTGGAAAAAGAGGGTTTCAAACCTGTTCTTTCTAAAGAAGTGTTCAACACCTTGAGTTGAATTCACACATCACAAAGTGGTTTCTGAGAATGCTTCTCTGTAGTTTTGATTTGAAGATATCTCGTTTCCAACGGAATCCTCAAGCAGCGCCAAATATCCACAAGCAGAAACTACAAAAGTAGTATTTCACTACTGTTCTATCAAAAGAAATGTTCAACTCTGTGTGTTGGATGCACACATCACAAACAAGTTCCTGAGAATACTTCTTTCTACTTTTTGTGTGAAGAGATTTCCTTTTCCAACATACGCTTCAAATCACTCCAAATATCCACTTGCAGATTCTACAAAAAGACTGTTTCAAAACTGCTCTCTCAAAAGCAAGGTTCAACTCCGTGAGTTGAATGCATACATCACAAAGAAGTTTCTGAGAATGCTTGTGCCTATTTTTTATGTGAAGATGTTTCCTTTTCCTCCATAGGCCTCAAAGCACTCCAAACATATACTTGCAGATTCTAGAAAAAGAGTGCTTCTGAACTGCTCTTTCTAAAGAAGTGTTCAACTCTCTGAGTTGAATTCACACATCACAAAGTCGTTTCTGAGAATGCTTCTGTCTAGTTTTCATTTGAAGTTATCGCATTTCCAACGATATCCTCAAACAGCTCCAAATATCCCAAGCAGATTCTACCAAAGGAGTGTTTCAGTACTGCTCTATCAAAAGAAATGTTCAACTCTGTGTTTTGAATGCACACATCAAAACGCAGTTTCTGGGAATGTTTCCATCAAGTTTTATGTGAAGATATTTCCTTTTCCACCATAGGCATGAAATCGCTCCAAATATCCACTTGCAGATCCTACAAAGAGACTGTTTCAAAACAGCTCCCTCAACAGAAAGGCTCAGCTCTGTGAGTTGAATGCACACATACCAAGCAAGTTCCTGAGAAGGCTTCTGTCTAGTTTTTCTGTGAAGATATTTTCTTTTCCAACATAGTCTTCAAATTGCACCACATATCCACTTGCAGATCCTACCTGAAGACTGTTTCAAAACTGCTCTCACAAAAAGGAAGGATCAACTCAGTGAGTTGAATGCATACATCACAGAGAAGTTTCTGAGAATGCTTCTGCCTAATTTTTATGTGAAGATGTTCCCTTTCCCCCCATAGACCTCAAAGCGCTCCAAATGAACACTTGCAGATTCTAGAAAAAGATTGTTTCAAATCTGCCCTTTCTAAAGAGGTGTTCATCTCTCTGAGTTGAATTCACACATCACAAAGCGGCTTCTGAGAATGCTTCTCTGTAGTTTTGATTTGAAGATATCTCGTTTCCAATGATATCCTCAAACAGCTCCAAATATCCACAAGCAGATTCTACAAAAGTAGTGTTTCAGTAGTTCTCTATAAAAATAAGTTTTCAACTCTGTGTGTTGAATGCACACATCTCAAACAAGTTCCTGAGAATGCTTCTGTCTAGTTTTTCTGTGAAGATATTTCCTTTTCCTACATAGGCTTCAAATCGCTCCAACTATCCATTGACAGCTTCTACAAAAAGACTGTTTCAAAACTGCTCTCTCAAAAGGAAGTTTCAACTCCGTTAGTTGAAGGCTTACATCACAAAGAAGTTTCTGAGGATGCTTCTGCCAAGTATTTATTTGATGTTATCTCGTTTCCAACAAAATCCTGAAACAGCTCCAAATATCCAGAAGCAGATTCTACAAAAGTAGTGTTTCAGGACTGTTCTATCAAAGGAAATGTTCAACTCTGTGAGTTGAATGCACACATCAGAAAGCAGTTTCTGAGAATGCTTCTGTCAAGCTTTTATGTGAACATATTTCCTTTTCTGCCATATGCTTGAAATAGCCCCAAATATCCACTTGCATAATCTACAAAAGGACTGTTTCAAAACAGCTCTCTCAACAGGAAGTTTCAGCTCTGTGAGTTGAATGCACACAACAGAATCAAGTTCCTGAGAATTCTTCTGTCGAGTTTTTCAGTGAAGATATATCCTTTTCCAACACAGGATTCAAATCACTCCAAATATACACATGTAGATTCTACAAGAAGACTGTTTCAAAACTGCTCTCTCAAAAGGAAGTTTCAACTCCGTGAGTTGAAAGCATACATCACAAAGAAGTTTCTGAGAATGCTTCTGCCTAGTTTTATGTGAAGATGTTTCCTTTTTCCACCATAGGCCTCAACTGCTCCAAATGGACACTTGACGATTTTAGAAAAAGAATGTTTCAAAACTGCTCTTTCTAAAGTAGTGTTTAACTCTCTGAGTTGAATTCACACCTCACAAAGCAGTTTCTGAGAATGCTTCTCTGTAGTTTTTATTTAAAGATATGTCGTTTCCAACGAAATCCTCAAACAGCTCCAAATATTCACAAGCAGATTCTACAAAAGTAGTGCTTCAGTACTGCTCTATCAAAAGAAATGTTGAAATCTGGGAGTTGAATGCACAGTTCTCAAACAAGTTCCTGAGAATGCTTCTGTCTATTTTTTCTGTGAAGATATTTCCTTTTCCAACATAGGCTTCAAATTGCTCCAAATATCCACTCTTGCAGATTCTACAAATAGACTGTTTTAAAACTTCTCTCTCAAAAGGAAGGTTCAACTCTGTGAGATGAATTCACGCATCAAAAAGCAGTTGTTGAGAATGGTCCTGTCTAGATTTATTTGAAGATATTTAATTTCCAATGAAATTCTCAAAAAGCTCCAAATATGCACAAACAGACAGTACAAAAGTTGTGTTCCTGTACGGCTCTGTCAAAATAAATTTTCAATTGTGTGTGTTGAATGCAGACACCACAGAGCAGTGTCTGAGAATGCTTCTCTGTAGTATTTGGTTGAAGATGTCTCCTTTCCAAAGAAATCCTCAAACAGCTCCAAATATCCACAGGCAGATTCTACAAAAATAGTGTTTCAGTACTGCTCTATCAAAAGAAATGTTCAACACTGTGAGTTGAATGCACACATCAAAAACGGTTTCTGATAATGCGTTTGTCAAGCTTTTATGTGAAGTTATTGCCTTTTCCACCATAGGCTGGATATCGCTCCAAATATCCACTTTCAAATCCTACAAAGAGACTGTTTCAAACAGCTCTCTCAAGAGGAATGTTCATCTCTGTGAGTCGAATGCACACATCCCAAACAAGTTCCTGAGAATGCTTCTGTCCAGTTTTTCTGTGAAGATATTTCCTTTTCAAACATAGGCTTCAAATCGCTCCAAATATGCACTTGCGGATTCTGCAAAAAGACTTTTTCAAAACTTCTCTCATAAAAGAAAGGTTCAACTCTGTGAGTTGAATGCATACATCACAACGAAGTTTCTCAGAATGCTTCTGCCTAGTTTTTATGTGAAGATGTTTCCTTTTCCCCCATAGACCTCTAAGCGTTCCAAATGAACACTTGCAGATTCTAGAAAAAGAGTGTTTCAAAACTGCTCTTTCTAAAGAATTGTTCAACTCTCTGAGTTCAATTCACACATCACAAAACAGTTTCTGAGAATTCTTCTCAGTAGTTTTTATTTAAGATGTCTTCTTTAAAACGAAATCCTCAAACAGCTCCAAATATACACAAGGAGATTCTACCAAAGTACTGTTTCAGTACGGCTCTATCAAAAGAAATGTTCAACTCTGTGAGTTGAATGCACATATCACAAAGCATTTTCTGAGAATGATTCTACCAAGATTTTATGTGAAGATATTTCCTTTTCCACCATATAAGTGAAATCACTCCAAATATACACTTGCAGATCCTACAAGGAAACTGTTTCAAAACAACTCTCTCAAGAGGAATGTTCAGGTCTGAGAGTTGAATGCACACATCCCAAACAAGTTCCTGAGAATGCTTCTGTCTAGTTTTTTTGTGAAGATATTTCCTTTTCCAACACCTGCTTGAAATCCCTCCAAATATCCACTTGCGGATTCTACAAAAAGACAGTTTCAAAACTGCTCTCTCAAAACGAAGGTTCAACACTGTGAGTAGAATGCATACATCACAAAGAAGTTTCTGTGAATGCTTCTGCCTACTTTTTAGGTGAAGATGTTTCCTTTTCCACCATAGGCCTCAAAGCACTCCAAATGAACACTTGCAGATTCTAAAAACAGAGTGTTTCAAGACTGCTCTTTCTAAAGAAGTGTTCAACTCTCTGAGTTGAATTCACACATCACAAAGCAGTTTCTGAGAATTCTTCTATTTTTTATTTGAAGGTAATTCGTTTCCTACGAAATCCTCAAACAACTCTAAATATACACAGATCCTACAAAAGTAGTGTTTATTATTTATTTATTTATTTGTTTATTTATTTAATTTTATTATTTATTTATTTATTTTTTTAAATTATTTTCTTATTTTTATTATTTATTTATTTATTTGTTTGTTTATTTATATATTTATTTTTATTATTACACTTTAAGTTTTATGGTACATGTGCACGGTACATGTTACATATGTATACATGTGCCTTGCTGTTGCGCCTCACCCACTATCTCATCATCTAGCATTAGGTATATCTCCCAATGCTATCCCTTCCCCCTCCCCCCACCCCATAACAGTCCCCAGAGTGTGATGTTCCCCTTCCTGTGTCCATGTGATCTCATTGTTCAATTCCCACATATGAGTGAGAATATGCGGTATTTGGTTTTTTGGTCTTGTGATAGTTTACTGAGAATGATGATTTCCAATTTCATCCATGTCCCTACAAAGGACATGAACTCATCATTTTTTATGGCTGCGTAGTATTCCATGGTGTATATGTGCCACATTTTCTTAATCCAGTCTATCATTGTTGGACATTTGGGTTGGTTCCAAGTCTTTGCTATCGTGAGTAAAGCCACAATAAACATACATGTGCATGTGTCTTTATAGCAGCATGATTTATAGTCCTTTGGGTATATACCCAGTAATGGGATGGCTAGGTCAAATGGTATTTCCAGTTCTAGATCCCTGAGGAATCGCCACACTGACTTCCACAATGGTTGAACTAGTTTACAGTCCCACCAACAGTGTAAAAGTGTTCCTATTTCTCCACATCCTCAACAGTACCTGTTGTTTCCTGACTTTTTAATGATTGCCATTCTAACTGGTGTGAGATGATAACTCATTGCGGTTTTGATTTGCATTTCTCTGATGGCCAGTGATGATGAGCATTTTTTCATGTGTTTTTTGGATGTATAAATGTCTTCTTTTGAGAAGTGTCTGTTCATGTCCTTTGCCCATTTTTTGATGGGGTTGTTTGTTTTTTTCTTGTAAATTTGTTTGAGTTCATTGTAGATTCTGGGTATTAGCCCTTTGTCAGATGAGTAGGTTGAGAAAAATTTCTCCCATTTTGTAGGTTGCCTGTTCACTCTGATGGTAGTTTTTTTTGCTGTGCAGAAGCTCTTTAGTTTAATTAGATCCCATTTGTCAATTTTGTCTTTTGTTGCCATTGCTTTTGGTGTTTTAGACATGAAATCCTTGCCCATGCCTATGTCCTGAATGGTAATGCCGAGGTTTTCTTCTGGGGTTTTTATGGTTTTAGGTCTAACGTTTAAGTCTTTAATCCATCTTGAATTGATTTTTGTATAAGGTGTAAGGAAGGAATACAGTTTCAGCTTTCTACATAAGGCTAGCCAGTTTTCCCAGCACCATTTATTAAATAGGGAATCCCTTCCCCATTGCTTGTTTTTCTCAGATTTCTCAAAGATCAGATAGCTGTAGATATGCGGCATTATTTCTGAGGTCTCTGTTCTGTTCCATTGATCTATATCTCTGTTTTGGTACCAGTACCATGCTGTTTTGGTTACTGTAACCTTTTAGTATAGTTTGAAGTCAGGTAGTGTGATGCCTCCAGCTTTGTTCTTTTGGCTTAGGATGGACTTGGTGATGCAGGCTCTTTTTTGGTTCCATATGAACTTTAAAGTAGTTTTTTCCAATTCCGTGAAGAAAGTCATTGGTAGCTTGATGGAGATGGCATTGAATCTGCAAATTACCTTGGGCAGTATGTCCATTTTCACGATATTGATTCTTCCTACCCATGAGCATGGAATGTTCTTCCTTTTGTTTGTATCCTCTTTTATTTCCTTGAGCAGTGGTTTGTAGTTCTCCTTGAAGAGGTCCCTCACATCCCTTGTAAGTTGGATTCCTAGGTATTTTATTCTCTTTGAAGCAATTGTGAATGGGAGTTCACTCATGATTTGGCTCTCAGTTTTTCTGTTGTTGCTGTTTAAGAATGCTTGTGATTTTTGTACATTGATTTTGTATCCTGAGACTTTGCTGAAGTTGCTTATCAGCTTAAGGAGATTTTGGGCTGAGACAATGGGGTTTTCTAGATCTACAGTCGTGTCTTCTGCAAACAGGGACAATTTGACTTCCTCTTTTCCTAATTGAATACCTTTTATTTCCTTCTCCTGCCTAATTGCCCTGGCCAGAACTTCCAACACTGTGTTGAATAGCAGTGGTGAGAGTGGGCATCCCTGTCTTGTACCAGTTTTCAAAAGGAATGCTTCCAGTTTTTGCCCATTCAGTATGATATTGGCTGTGGGTTTGTCATAGATAGCTCTTATTATTTTGAAATACGTCCCATCGATACCTAATTTATTGATAGTTTTTAGCATGAAGGGTTGTTGAATTTTGTCAAAGGCTTTTTCTGCATCTATTGAGATAATCATGTGGTTTTTGTTTTGGCTCTGTTTATATGCTGGATTGCATTTATTGATTTGTGTATATTGAACCAGCCTTGCATCCCAGGGATGAATCCCACTTGATCATGGTGGATAAGCTTTTTGATGTGCTGCTGGATTCGGTTTCCCAGTATTTTATTGAGGATTTTTCCATCAATGTTCATCAAGGATATTGGTCTAAAATTCTCTTTTTTTGTTGTGTCTCTGCCCGGCTTTGGTATCGGAATGATGCTGACCTCATAAAATGAGTTAGGGAGGATTCCCTCTTTTTCTATTGATTGGAATAGTTTCAGAAGGAATGGTACCAGTTCCTCCTTGTACCTCTGGTAGAATTCGGCTGTGAATCCATCTGGTCCTGGACTCTTTTTTGGTTGGTAAGCTATTGATTATTGCCACAATTTCAGATCTTGTTATTGGTCTATTCAGAGATTCAACTTCTTCCTGGTTTAGACTTGGGAGAGTGTATGTGTCGAGGAATTTATCCTTTTCTTCTAGATTTTCTAGTTTATTTGCATAGAGGTGTTTGTACTATTCTCTGATGACAGTTTGTATTTCTGTGGGATCGGTGGTGATATCCCCTTTATCATTTTTTATTGTGTCTATTTGATTCTTCTCCCTTTTTTTCTTTATTAGTCTTGCTAGTGGTCTATCAATTTTGTTGATCCTTTCAAAAAACCAGCTCCTGGATTCATTAATTTTTTGAAGGGTTTTTTGCGTCTCTATTTCCTTCAATTCTGCTCTGATTTTAGTTATTTCTTGCCTTCTGCTAGCTTTTGAATGTGTTTGCTCTTGCTTTTCTAGTTCTTTTAATTGTGATGTTAGTGTGTCAATTTTGGATCTTTCCTGCTTTCTCTTGTGGGCATTTAGTGCTATAAATTTCCCTCTGCACACTGCCTTGAATGCATCCCAGAGATTCTGCTATGTTGTGTCTTTGTTCTCCTTGGTTTCAAAGAACATCTTTCTTTCTGCCTTCATTTCGTTATGTACCCAGCTGCCATTCAGGAGCAGGATGTTCAGTTTCCATGTAGTTGAGCGGTTTTGAGTGAGATTCTTAATCCTGAGTTCTAGTTTGATTGCACTGTGGTCTGAGAGATAGTTTGTTATAACTTCTGTTCTTTTACATTTGCTGAGGAGAGCTTTACTTCCAAGTATGTGGTCAATTTTGGAATAGGTGTGGTGTGGTGCTGAAAAAAATGTATATTCTGTTGATTTGGGGTGGAGAGTTCTGTAGATGTCTATTAGGTACACTTGGTGCAGAGCAGAGTTCAATTCCTGGGTATCCTTGTTGACTTTCTGTCTTTTGGTCTTTCTAATGCTGACAGTGGGGTGTTAAAGTCTCCCATTATTAATGTGTGGGAGTCTAAGTCTCTTTGTAGGTCACTCAGGACTTGCTTTATAAGTCTTGGTGCTCCTGTATTGGGTGGATATATATTTAGGATAGTTAGCTCTTCTTGTTGAATTGATCCCTTTACCATTATGTAATGGCCTTCTTTGTCTCTTTTAATCTTTGTTGGTTTAAAGTCTCTTTTGTCAGAGACTAGGATTGCAACCCCTGCCTTTTTTTGTTTTCCATTTGCTTGGTAGATCTTCCTCCATCCTTTTATTTTGAGCCTATATGTGTCTCTGCACGTGAGATGGATTTCCTGAATACAGCACACTGATGGGTCTTGACTCTTTATCCAATTTGCCAGTCTGTGTCTTTTAATTGGAGAATTTAGTCCATTTACATTTAAAGTTAATATTTTTATGTGTGAATTTTATCCTGTTATTATGATGTTAGCTGGTTATTTTGCTCTTTAGTTGCTGCAGTTTCTTCCTAGTCTTGATGGTCTTTACATTTTGGCATGATTTTGCAGCGGCTGGTACTGGTTGTTCCTTTCCATACTTAGCACTTCCTTCAGGAGCTGTTTTAGGGCAGGCCTGGTGGTGACAAAATCTCTCAACATTTGCTTCTCTGTAAAGTATTTTATTTCTCCTTCACTTATGAAGGTTAGTTTGGCTGGATATGAAATTCTGGGTTGCAAATTCTTTCCTTTAATAATGTTGAATATTGGTCCCCACTCTCTTCTGGCTTGTAGGGTTTCTGCCGAGAGATCCGCTGTTAGTCTGATGAACTTCCCTTTGAGGGTAACCCGACCTTTCTCTCTGGCTGCCCTTAACTTTTTTTCCTTCATTTCAACTTTGGTGAATCTGACAATTATGTGTCTTGGAGTTGCTCTTCTCGAGGAGTATCTTTGTGGCGTTCTCTGTATTTCCTGAATCTGTACATTGGCCTGCCTTGCTAGATTGGGGAAGTTCTCCTGGATAATATCCTGCAGAGTGTTTTCCAACTTGGTTCCATTCTCCCCATCACTTTCAGGTACACCAATCAGACGTAGATTTGGTCTTTTCACATAGTCCCATATTTCTTGGAGGCTCTGTTCGTTTCTTTTTATTCTTTTTTCTCTAAACTTCCCTTCTCACTTCATTGCATCCATTTCATCTTCCATCACTGATACCCTTTCTTCCAGTTGATTGCATCGGCTCCTGAGGCTTCTGCATTCTTCACGTGGTTCTCGAGCCTTGATTTTCAGCTCCATCCACTCCTCTAAGCACTTCTCTCTATTCGTTATTCCAGTTATACATTCTTCTAAAATTTTTTCAAAGTTTTCAACTTCTTTGCCTTTGGTTTGAATGTCCTCCCGTAGCTCAGAGTAATTTGATCGTCTGAAGCCTTCTTCTCTCAGCTTGTCAAAATCATTCTCCATCCAGCTTTGTTCCATTGCTGGTGAGGAACTGCATTCCTTTGGAGGAGGAGAGGTGCTCTGCTTTTTAGACTTTCCAGTTTTTCTGTTCTGTTTTTTCCCCATCTTTGTGGTTTTATCTACTTTTGGTCTTTGATGATGGTGATGTACAGATGGGTTTTTGGTGTGGATGTCCTTTCTGTTTGTTAGTTTTCCTTCTAACAGACAGGACCCTCAGCTGCAGGTCTGTTGGAATACCCTGCCCTGTGAGGTATGGTTGTGCCCCTGCTGGGGGGTTCCTCCCAGTTAGGCTGCTTGGGGGTCAGGGGTCAGGGACCCACTTTAGGAGGCCGTCTGCCTGTTCTCAGATCTCCAGATGGGTGCTGGGAGAACCACTGCTCTCTTCAAAGCTGTCAGACAGGGACTTTTAAGTCTGCAGAAGTTACTGCTGTCTTTTTCTTTGTCTGTTTCCTGCCCCCAGATGTGGAGCCTACAGAGGCAGCAGGCCTCCTTGAGCTGTGTTGGGCTCCACCCAGTTCGAGCTTCCCTGCTGCTTTGTTTACCTAATCAAGCCTGGGCAATGGCAGGCGCCCCTCCCCCAGCCTCGCTGCCACCTTGCAGTTTAATCTCAGACTGCTGTGCTAGGAATCAGTGAGACTCCGTGGGCATAGGACCCTCCAAGACAGGTGCGGGATATAATCTTGTGGTGCACCATTTTTTAAGCCCGTCGGAAAAGTGCAGTGTTCGGGTGGGAGTGACCGTATTTTCCAGGTGCTGTCCCTCACCCCTTTCTTTGACTGGGAAAGGGAACTCCCTGACCCCTTGCATTTCCCAAGTGAGGCAATGCCTCACCCTGCTTCGGCTTACACATGGTGTGCACACCCACTGACCTGTGCCCACTGTCTGGCACTCCTTAGTGAGATGAACCCGGTACCTCAGAAGGAAATGCAGAAATCGCCCGTCTTCTGCATCTCTCACGCTGGGAGCTGTAGACCCGAGCTGTTCCCATTCGGCCATCTTGGCTCCTCCCCCCAGAGGTTTCGTTTTCTACCATAGGCCTCAAAGCGCTCCAAATGAACACTTGCAGATTCTAGAAAAAGAGTGTTTCAAAACTGCTATTTCTGAAGAAGTGTTCAACTCCCTGAGTTCAATTCACACATCACAATGCAGTTTCTGAGAACGCCACTGTCTTGTTTGTTTTTGAAGATAATTCATTTCCACCGAAATCCACAAACAGCTCCAAATATCAATAAGCAGATTCTACAAAAGTAGTGTTTCAGTACTGCTGTATCAAAAGAAATGTTCAACTCTGTGAGCTGAATGTACACATCAAACAGCAGTTTCTGAGGATGCTTCTGGCAAGCTTGCATGTGAAGATATTTCCTTTTCCCCCATAGGAATGAAATCGCTCCAAATATCCACTTGCAGATCCTACGAAGAGACTGTTTAAAACAGCTCTCTCAACAGGAAAGTTCAGCTCTGTGAGTTGAATGCACACATCTCAAAGAAGTTCCTGAGAATTCTTCTGTCTAGTTTTTCTGTGAAGATATATGCTTTTCCAACAGAGGATTCAAATCGCTCCAAATATCCACTTGCAGATTCTACAAAAAGACTGTTTCAAAACTGCTCTCTCAAAAGGAAGGTTCAACTCTGTGAGTAGAAGGCATACATCCAAAAGAAGTTTCTGAGAATGCTTCTGCCTAGTTTTTATGTGAAGATGTTTCGTTTTCCACTATAGGCCTCAAAGCACTTCAAATGAACACTTACAGATGCTAGAAAAAGAGTGTTTCAAAACTGCTCTTTCTAAAGAAGTGTTTAATTCTCTTAGTTGAATTCACACATCACAAAGCAGTTTCTGAGAATACTTCTATCTAGTTTTTATTTGAAGATAATTCGTTTACAATGAAATCCCCAAACAGCTCCAAATATCCATAAGCAGAGTGTACAAAATTAGTGTTTCAGTACTGCTCTATCAAAAGAAATGTTCAACTCTGTGAGTTTAATGCACACATCTCAAACAAGTCCCTTAGAATCCTTCCGTCTAGTTTTTCTGTGAAGAAATTTCCTTTTCCAACATAGGCTTCAAATCTCTCCAAATATCCACTTGCAGATTCTACAAAAAGTCTGTTTCACAACTGCTCTCTGAAAAGGAAGGTTCAACTCTGTGAGTTGAATGCATGCATCACCAAGTAGTTTGTGAGAATGCTTCTGTCTAGTTTTTATGTGAAGATGTTTCCTTTTCCACCATAGGCCTCAAAACGCTCCAAATGAACAACTGCAAATTCTAGAAAAACAGTGTTCCAAAACTGCTCTTTCTAAAGAATGTTCAACTCTCTGAGTTGAATTCACACATCACAAAGCAGTTTCTGAGAATGCTTCTGTCATGTTTTTATTTGAAGTTATCTCATTTCCAATGAAATCCTCAAAAAGCTACAAATATCCACGTGCAGATTCTACAAAAGTAGTGTTTCAGTTTTGCCCTAACAAAAGAAATGTTCAACCATGTGAGTTGAAGGCACACATCAAAAACCAGTTTCTGAGAATCCTTCTGTCAAGCATTTATGTGACGATATTTCCTTTTCCACCATAGGACTGAAATCGCTCCAAATATTCACTTGCAGATCCTGCAAAGGGACTGTTTAAACAGCTCTCTCAACAGGAAAGTTCAGCTCTGTGAGTTGAATGCACACATCTCAAACTAGTTCCTGAGAATTCTTCTGTCTAGTTTTTCTGTGAAGATATTTCCTTTTCCAACATCGGCTGGACATCGCTCCAAATATCCAGTTGCAGATTCTACAAAAAGACTGTTTTGAAACTGCTCTCTCAAAAGGAAGGTTCAACTCTGTGAGTAGAATGCATACATCACAAAGAAGTTTCAGAGAATGCTTCTGCCTAGTTTATATATGAAGATATTTCCTTTCCCTCCATAGTCCTCAGAGCGCTCCAAATGAACACTCTCAGATTCTAGAAAAAGAGAATTTCAAAACTGCACTTTCTAAAGAAGTGTTCACCTCTCTGAGCTGAATTCACACATCACAAAGCAATTTCTGAGAATGCTTCTGTCTAGTTTTTTTGAAGATAATTCGTTTATAATGAAATCCTCAAACACCTCCAAATATCCACAAGCTGATTCTAAAAAAGTAGTGTTTCAGTACTGCTCTATAAAAAGAGATGTTGAACTCTGTGAGTTGAATGTACGCATGAAAAACAAATTCCTGAGAATGTTTCTGTCTACATTTCTGTGAAGATGTTTCCTTTTCCAACATAGGCATCAAATCGCTCCAAATATCCCCTTGCAGATTCTACCAAAAGACTGTTTCAAAACTGCTGTCTCAAAAGGAAGCTTCAACTCTGTGAGTTGAATGCATACCTCACAAAGGAGTTTCTGAGAATGCTTCTGCCTAGTTTTTATGTGAAGAGGTTTCCTTTTCCACCATAGGCCTCGAAGCCCTCCCAGTGAACACTTGCGGATTCTAGAAAAAGAGTGTTTCAAAACTGCACTTTCTAAAGAAGTGTTCAACTCTCTGAGTTGAATTCACACATCACTAAGAAGTTTCTGAGAATGCTTCTGTCTAATTTTCATTTTAAGTTATCTAGTTTCCAAAGAAATTTTCAAACATCTCAAATTACCCACAAGCAGATACAACAAAAGTAGTGTTTCAGTACTGCTCTATCAAAAGAGATGTTCAACTCTGTGAGTTGAAGGTACGCATCACAAACAAGTTCCTGAGAATGCTTCTGTCTTCATTTCTGTGAACATATTTCCTTTTCCAACATAGGCTTCAAATCGCTCCAAATATTCACTTGCAGATTCTACAAAAAGACTGTTTCAAAACTGCTCTCTCAAAAGGAAGGTTCAACTCCGTGAGTAGAATGCATACATCACAGAGAAGTTTCTGAGAATGCTTCTGCCTAGTTTTTATGTGAAGATGTTTCCCTTTCCACTATAGGCCTCAAAGCACTCCAAATGAACACTTGCAGATCCTTGAAAAATAGTGTTTCAAAACTGCTCTTTCTAAAGAAGTGTTCAAAACTCTGAGGTGAATTCACACATCACAAAGCAGTTTCCGAGAATGCTTCTATGTAATTTTCATTTGAAGATATCTCATTTCAAATGAAATCCTCAAAGAGCTGCAAATATCCACAAGCAGATTCTCCATTAGTAGTGTTTCAGTACTGCTCTATCAAAAGAAATGTTCAACTCTGTGAGTTGAAAGCACGCATCTCAAACAAGTTCCTGAGAATGCTTCTTACTAGTTTTTCTTTGAAGACATTTCCTTTTCCAACATAGGCTTCAAATCACCCCAAATATCCACTTGTAGATTCTACAAAAAGACTGTTTCTAAACTGCTCTCTCAAAAGGAAGCTTCAACTCTGTGAGGTGAATGCATACATTACAAAGATGTCTCTGAGAATGTTTCTGCCTAGTTTTTATGTGAAGATGTTTCCTTGTCCACCATAGGCCTCAAAGAGCTCCAAATGAACACTTGCAGATTCTAGAAGAGGAGTGTTCCAAAACTGCTCTTTCTAAAGAAGTGTTCAGCTCTCTAAGTTGAATTCACACATCACAAAGCAGTTTCTGAGAAAGCTTCTGTCTAGGTTTCATTTGAAGTTATCTCGTTTCCAACGAAATCCTCAAAGAGCTCCAAATATCCACAAGCAGATACTAGAAAAAGAGTGTTTCAAAACTGTTCTTTCTGAAGAAGTGTTCAACTCTCTGAGTTGAATCAACACATCACAAAGCAGTTTCTGAGAATGCTTCTTTGTAGTTTTGACTTGAAGATATCTCATTTCCAAAGAAATCCTCAAACACTTCCAAATATACACAAGCAGAATCTACAAAAGTAGTCTTTTAGTACTGTTCTATCAAAAGAAATGTTCAACTCTGTGAGTTGAATGCACACATCACAAACAAGTTCCTGAGAATGCTTCTGTCTAGTTTTTCTGTGAAGATATTTCATTTTCCAACATAGGCTTGAAATCCCTCCAAATATCCACTAGCAGATTCTACAAAAAGACTGTTTCAGATCTGCTCTCTCAAAAGAAAGTTTCAACTGTGTGAGTTGAATGCATACATCAGAAAGAAGTTTCTGAGAACGCTTCTGCCTAGATTTTATGTGAAGACTTTTCCTTTTCCACCATAGGCCTGATAGTCCTCCAAATGAACACAAGCAATTTCTAGAAAAAGAGTGTTTGAAAACTGCTCTTTCTAAAGACGGGTTCAACTCTGTGAGTTGAATTCACACATCACAAAGCAGTTTCTGTGAATGCTTCTCTGCAGTTTATATTTGAAGATATCTCGTTTCCAATGAAATCCTCAAACAACTCCAAATATCCATCAGCAGATTCCACAAAAGTAGTGTTTCAGTACTGCTCTATCATAGGAAATATTCAACTCTGTGAGTTGAATGCACACATCACAAAACAGTTTCTGAGAATGCTTCTGTCTAGATTTTATGTGAAGGTATTTCCTTTTCCGACATAGGCCTGAAATCGCTACAGATATCCAGTTGCAGATCCTATTAAGAGACTGTTTTGAAACAGCTCTCTCAACAGGAAGGTTCAGCTCTGTGAGTTGAATGCACACATCACAAACAAGTTCCTGAAAATGTTCCTATCTACTTTTTCTGTGAAGATATATCCTTTTCCAACATGGGCTTCAAATCGCTCGAAATATCCAATTGCAGATTCTACAAAAAGACTGTTTAAAAACTGCTCTCTAAAAAGGAAGGTTCAACTCTGTGATTTGAATGCATACATCTCAAAGAAGTTGCTGAAAATGCTTCTGCCTAGTTTTTATGTGAAGATGTTTCCTTTTCCACGACAGGCCTCGAAGAGCTCCAAATGAGCACTTGCAGATTCTAGAAAAGAGTGTTTCAAAACGGCTCTTTCTAAAGAAGTGTTCAACTCTCTGAGTTGAATTCACACATCACAAAGCAGTTTCTGAGAATGCTTCTGTCTCGTTTTTATTTGAAGATAATTCGTTTCCAACGAAATCCTCAAACAGCTCCAAATATCCACAAGCAGATTTTACAAAAGCAGTGTTTCAGTACTGCTCTATCAAAAGAAATGTTCAACTCTGTGAGTGGAATGCACACATCACAAACAAGTTCCTGAGAATGCTTCTGTCTAGTTTTTCTCTGAAGATATTTGCTTTTCCAACATAGCCTTGAAATCTCTCCAAATATACAATTGCAGAACCTACAAAAAGACTGTTTCAAAACTGCTCTCTCAAATGGAAGGTTCAACTCCGTGAGTTGAATGCATACTTCACAAAGAACTTTCTGAGAATGCTTTTGCCTAGTTTTCAAGTAAATATGTTTCCTTTTCCACCATAGGCCTCAAAGCACTCCAAATGAACACTTGCAAATTCTAGAAAAATAGCGTTTCAAAACTGCTCTTTCTAAGGCTGTGTTCAACACTCTGAGTTGATTTCACACATCACAAATCAGTTTCTGGAATTGCTTCTCTGTAGTTTTGATTAGAAGATATCTCGTTTCCAGAGAAATCCTCATACTGATCCAAATATCCAAAAGCAGATTCTACAAAAGTACTGTTTCAGTACTGCTCTATCAAAAGAAATGTTCAACCCTGTGAGTTGAATGCACACATCTCAAACAAGTTACTGAGAATGCTTCTGTCAACTTTTTCTGTGACAATATTTCCTTTTCCAACATAGGCTTCAAATCGCTCCAAATATCCACTTGCAGATTCTACAAAAAGTCTTTCAAAACTGCTCTCTCAAAAGGAAGGTTCAACTCTGTGAGTTGAATGCATACATCACAAAGAAGTTTCTGGTAGTGTTTCTGCATAGTTTTTATGTGAAGATGTTTCCTTATCCACCGTAGGCCTCAAAGTGATCCAAAGGAACACTTGCAGATCCTAGAAAAAGAGTGTTTCAAAACTGCTCTTTCTAAAGAGGTGTTCAAATCTCTCAGTTTAATTCACACACTAGAAAGCATTTTATGAGAATACTTCTCTGTAGTTTTGATTTGAAGATATCTTGTTTCCAACGAAATCCTCAAAGAGCTCCAAATATCCACAAGCAGATTCTACAAAAGTAGTGTTTCAGTCCTGCTCTATCAAAAGAAATTTCAACTATGTGAGTTGAATGCACACATCAAAAAGCAGTTTCTGAGAATGCTTCTGTCAAGCTTTTATATGAAGATATTTCCTTTTCCACCATAGGCATGAAATCTCTCCAAATATCCACTTGCAGATCTTACAAAGAGACTGTTTCAAAACAGCTCTCTCAACAGGAAGGTTCAGCTCTGTGTATTGAATGCAAACATCACACACAAGTTCCTGAGAAATCTTCTGTCTATTTTTTCTGTGAAGATATACCCTTTTCCATCATAGGCTTCAAATGGCTCCAAATATCAACTTGCCGATTTTTCAAGAAGACTGTTTCAAAACTGCTCTCTCAAAAGGAAGGTTCAACTCTGTGATTGGAATGCATACATCACAAAGAAGTTTCTGAGAATGCTTCTGCCTAGTTTTTATGTGAAGATGTTTCCCTTTCCACCTTAGGCCTCAAAGCTCTCCAAATGAACACTTGCAGACTCTTGCAAAATAGTGTTTCAAAACTGCTCTTTCTAAAGAAGTGTTCAACACTCTGAGTTGAATTCACACATCAAAAAGCAGTTTACGAGAATGCTTCTCAGTAGTTTTGATTTGAAGATATTTCGTTTCCAAGGAAAACCTCAAAGAGCTCCAAATATCCACAAGCAGATTCTCCATTAGTAGTGTTTCAGTACTGCTCAATCAAAAGAAATGTTCAACTCTGTGAGTTGAATGCACGCATCTGAAAAAAGTTCCTGAGAGTGATTCCTTCTAGTTTTTCTTTGAAGACATTTTCATTTCCCACATAGGCTTCAAATCACTCCAAATATCCACTTGCAGATTCTGCAAAAAGACTGTTTCAAAACTGCTCTCTCAAAAGGAAGTTTCAACTCTGTGATATGAATGCATACATCACAAAGATGTCTCTGAGAATGCTTCTGTCTAGTTTTTATGTGAAGATGTTTCCTTGTCCACCCATAGGCCTCAAAGAGCTCCAAATGAACACTTGCAGATTCTAGAAGAGGAGTGTTCCAAAACTGCTCTTTCTAAAGAAGTGTTCAGCTCTCTGAGTTGAATTCACACATCACAAAGCAGTTTCTGAGAAAGCTTCTGTCTAGGTTTCATTTGAAGTTATCTCGTTTCCAACGAAATCCTCAAAGAGCTCCAAATATCCACAAGCAGATACTAGAAAAAGAGTGTTTCAAAACTGTTCTTTCTGAAGAAGTGTTCAACTCACTGAGTTGAATTCACACATCACAAAGCAGTTTCTGAGAATGCTTCTCTGTAGTTTTGACTTGAAGATATCTCGTTTCCAACGAAATCCTCAAACACTTCCAAATATACACAAGCAGAATCTACAACAGTAGTGTTTCAGTACTGCTCTATCAAAAGAAATGTTCAACTCTGTGAGTTGAATGCACACATCACAAACAAGTTCCTGAGAATGCTTCTGTCTAGTTTTTCTGTGAAGATATTTCCTTTTCCAACATAGGCTTCAAATCGCTCCAAATAATCACTTGCAGTTTCTACAAAAAGACTGTTTCAAAACCGCTCTCTCAAAAGGAAGGTTCAACTGTGTCAGTTGAATGCATACATCACAAAGAAGTTTCTGAGAACACTTCTGCCTCGTTTTTATGTGAAGACGTTTCCTTTTCCACCATAGGCCTGATAGTGCTCCAAATGAACACTAGAAAACTCTAGAAGAGTGTTTCAAAACTGCTCTTTGTAAAGAAGGGTTCAACTTTCTGAGTTGAATTCACACATCACAAAACTGTTTCTGACAATGTTTCTCTGTAGTTTTTATTTGAAGATATTTCGTTTCCAACGAAATCTTCAAACAGCTCCAAATATCCACGAACAGATATTACAAAAGTAGTGTTTCAGTACTGCTCTATCATAGGAAATATTCAACTCTGTGAGTTGAATGTGCACATCACAAAGCAGTTTCTGAGAATGCTTCTGTCAAGATTTTATGTGAAGGTATTTCCTTTACCACCATAGGCCTGAAATCGCTCCAGATATCCACTTGCAAATCCTACAAAGAGACTGTTTCGAAACAGCTCTCTAAACAGGAATTTTCAGCTCTGTGAGTTGTATGCCCACATCACAAACAAGTTCCTGAGAATGCTACTGTCTAGTTTTGCTGTGAAGATATTTCCTTTTCCAACGTAGGCTTCAAATCACTCCAAATATCCACTTGCAGATTCTTCAAAATGACTGTTTCAAAACTGCTCTCTCAAAAGGAAGGTTCAACTCTGTGAGTTGAATGCGTACATCACAAAGTTGTTTCTGAGAATGCTTCTCCCTAGTTTTTATGTGAAGATGTTTCCTTTTCCACCATAGGCCTCAAAGGGCACAAAATGAACACTTTCGGATTCTAGAAAAATAGTGTTTCAAAACTGCTCTTTCACAAGAAGTGTTCAACCCTTTGAGTTGAATTCACACATTACAAAGCAGTTTCTGAGAATGCTTCTGTCTCTTTTTTATTTGAAGTTACCTCGTTTCCAACGAAATCTTCAAACAGCTCCAAATATCCTCAAGCTGATTCTACAGAAGTCGTGTTTCAGTACTGCTCTATCAAAAGAAATGTTCATCTCTGTGAGTTGAATGCACACATCACAAAGCAGATTCAATGAATGATTCTGTCAAGCTTTTATATGAAGATATTTCCTTGTACATCAAAAGCAGGAAATCGCTCGAAATATCCACTTGCAGATCCTACAAAGAGACTGTTTCAAAACAGCTCTATCAACAGGAAGGTTCAACTCTGTGAGTTGTATGCAGATATCACAAACAAGTTCCTGAGAATGCTTCTGTCTAGTTTTTCTGGGAGGATATTTCCTTTTCCAAAATAGGCTTCAAATTGCTTCAAATAACCACGTGCAGATTCTACAAAAAGACTGTTTCAAAACTGCTCTCTTAAAGGCCGTTTCAACACAGTCTGTGCAATGCATACATCACAAATAATTTTCTGAGAATGCTTCTGCCTAGATTATATGTGAAGATGTTTCCTTTTCCACCATAGGCCTCCAAGCGCTCCAAATGAACACTTGCAGATTCTAGAAAAATAGTGTTTCAAAACTGCTCTTTCTCATGAAATGTTCAACCCTTTGAGTTGAATTAACATATCACACTGCAGTTTCTGAGAATGCTTCTGTCTGGTTTTTATTTGAAGTTATCTCATTTCCAACGAAATCTTCAAACAGCTCCAAATATCCTCAAGTAGATTCTTCAGAAGTCGTGTTTCAGTACTGCTCTATCAAAAGAAATGTTCAACTCTGTGTGTTGAATGCACACATCACAAAGCAGTTTCAGAGAATGCTTCTCTCCAGCTTTTATATGAAGATATTTTCTTGCCCACCGTAGGTATGAAATCGCTCGAAATATCCACTTGCAGATCCTACAACGAGACTGTTTCAAAACAGCTCTATCAACAGGATTGTTCAACTCTGTGAGGTGTATGCAGACATCACAAACAAGTTCCTGAGAATGCTTCTGTCTAGTTTTTCTGTGAGGATATTTCCTTTTCCGACATAGGCTTCAAATCGCTAGAAATATCCAATTGCAGATTCTACAAATAGACTGTTTCAAAACTGCTCTCTCAAAGGAAGGTTCAACTCTGTGTGTACAATGCATACATCATAAAGAAGTTTCTGAGAATGCTTCTGTCTAGATTATATGTGAAGATGTTTCCGTTTCCAACATAGGCCTCCAAGCACTCCAAATGAATACTTGCAGATCCTAGAAAAAGAGTGTTTCAAAGTTGCTCTTTCTAAAGAAGTGTTCAACTCTCTGAGTTGAATTCACACATCACAAAGCAGTTTCTCAGCATGCTTCTGTCTAGTTTTTATTTGAAGTTATCTCGTTTCCAAAGAAATCCTAAAACAGCTCCAAATATACACAAGCAGATTCTACAAAAGTAGTGTTTCAGTACTGCTCTATCAAAAGAAATGTTCAACTCTGTGAGTTGAATGCACACATAATAAAGCAGTTTCTGAGAATGCTTCTGTTAAGCTTTTATGTGAAGATATTTCCTTTTCCACCATA
>NC_000001.11:124978326-125013060 GCF_000001405.40 Homo sapiens
CAAAACTGCTCCCTCAATAGCAAGGTTCAACTCCGTTGGTTGACTTTATACATCACAAAGAAGTTTCTGAGAATGCTTCTGCTTTGTTTTTATGTGAAGATGTTTACTTTTCCACCATAGGCCTCAAAGAACTCCAAACGAACACTTGCAGATCCAAGAAAAAGAGTATTTCAAAACTGCTCTTTCTAAAGAAGTGTTCAACTCTCTGAGTTGAATTCACACATCACAAAGCAGTTTCTGAGAATGCTTCTGTCTAGTTTTTATTTGAAGATAATTCGTTTCCAGCAAAATACACAAAGAACTCCAAATATCCACAAGCAGATTCCACAAAATTAGTGTTTCAGTACTGCGGTATCAAAAGAAATGTTCAGCTCTGTGAGTTGAATGCTCACATCACAAACAAGTTCCTGATAATGCTTCTGTCTACTTTTACTGTGAAGATATTTCCTTTTCCTACATAGGCTTCAAATCGCTCCAAATATCCACTTGCAGATTCTACAAAAAGACTGTTTCAAAACCGCTCTCTCAAAAGGAGGGATCAACTCTGTGAGTTGAATACGTACATCACAAAGTAGTTTCTGAGAAACCTTCTGCCTAGTTTTTATGTGAAAAAGTTTCCTTTTCCACCACAGGACTCAAAGCACACCAAATGAACACTTGCAGATTGTTTAACAAGAGGGTTTCAAAACTGCTCTTTCTCAAGAAGTGTTCAAAGCTTTGAGTTGAATTCACACATCACAAAGCAGTTTCTGATAATGCTTCTGTCTGGTTTTTATTTGAAGTTATCCCGTTTCCAATGAAATCTTCAAATAGCCCCAAATATCCACAAGCAGATTCTACAGAAGTCGTGTTTCAGTACTGCTCTATCAAAAGAAATGTTCATCTCTGTGAGTTGAATGCACACATCACAAAGCAGATTCAATGAATGATTCTGTCAAGCTTTTATATGAAGATATTTCCTTGTACATCAAAAGCAGGAAATCGCTTGAAATATCCACTTGCAGATCCTACAAAGAGACTGTTTCAAAACAGCTCTATCAACAGGAAGGTTCAACTCTGTGAGTTGAATGCAGACATCACAAACGAGTTCCTTAGAATGCTTCTGTCTAGTTTTCCTGTGAGGATATTTACTTTTCCTAAATAGGCTTCAAATCGCTTCAACTATCCACTTGCAAATTCTACAAAAAGACTGTTTCAAAACTGCTCTCTCAAAGGAAGTTTAAACTCCGTGTGTACAATGCATATATCACAAAGAAGTTTCTGAGAATGCTTCTGTCTAGATTATATGTGAAGATATTTCCTTTTCCACCATAGGCATCCAAGCGCTCCAAATGAACACTTGCAGATTCTAGAAAAAAGTGATTCAAAACTGCTCTTTCTAAAGTGGTGTTCAACTCTCTGAGTTGAATTCACACATCACAACGCAGTTTCTCAGCATGTTTCTGTCTAGTTTTTATTTGCAGTTATCTCGTTTCCAAGATATCCTCAAAGAGATCCAAATATCCACAAGCAGATTCTACAAAAGTAGTGTTTCAGTACTGCCCTATCAAAAGAAATATTCAACTCTGTGAGTTGAATGCACACATAATAAAGCAGTTTCTGAGAATGCTTCTGTCAAGCTTTTATGTGAAGATAATTCCTTTTCCACCATAGGCCTGAAATTGCTCCAAACATCCACTTACATATCCTACAAAGAGACTGTTTCTAAACAGTTCTCTCAACAGGAAGATTCAGCTCTGTGAGTTGAATGCACACAACAAAAACAAGTTCCTGAGAATGCTTCTGTCTAGTTTTTCTGTGAAGATATTTCCTTTTCCAACATAGGCTTCAAATCGCTAGAAATATCCAATTGCAGATTCTAGGAAGGAAGGAATGTTCAAGGAAGGAAGGTTCAAGGAAGGAAGGAAGATTCAGAAGTAAGGTTCAACTCCTCAGAAGTTTAACTCCTCAGAAGACGGTTCAAAACTGCTCTCTCAGAAGGAAGGTTCAACTGGGCAGCAGCATTATCAGAAACTTCTTTGTGATATGTGCATTGAACTCATGAAGTTGAACCTTTCTTTTGAGAGAGAAGTTTTGAAACAGTCTTTTTGCAGAATCTGCAAGTGGATATTTGAGCGATTTGAAGATTATGTTGGAAAAGGAATTATCTTCACAGAAAAACTGGATAGAAGCATTCTCAAGAACTTGTTTCTGATGTATGAATTCAACTCACAGAGTTGAACATTTCTTTTGATACAGCAGTACTTAAACACTACTTTTGTAGAATCTGCTTGTGGATATTTGCAGCTGTTTGACGGTTTCGTTGGAAACGAGATATCTTCAAATAAGAACTAGACAGAAGCATTCTCAGAAACTGCTTTGTGATGTGTGAATTCAACTCAGAGAGTTGAACACTTCTTTAGAAAGATCAGATTTGAAATAATCTTTTTCTAGAATCTGCAAATGTTCATTCGGAGAGATTTGAGGCCAATGGTGGAAAAGGAAACATCTTCACATAAAATCTAGGCAGAAACATCCTCAGAAACTTCTTTGTGATGTATGCATTCAACTCGCGGAGTTGAACCTTCCTTTTGAGAGAGCATTTTTGAAACATTCTTTTTGTAGAATCTGCAGGTGGGTATTTGGAGCGATTTGAAGCCTATGTTGGAAAAGGAAATATCTTCACAGAAAAACTAGACAGAAGCATTCTAAGGAACTTGTTTGTGATGTGTGCTTTTCAGTCACAGAGTTGAACATTCCTTTTGATAGAGCAGTACTGAAAGACTACTTTTGTAGCATCTGCTTGTGGATATTTGGAGCTTTTTGAGGATTTCGTTGGAAACGAGATATCTTCAAATATAAACTAGACAGAAGCATTCTCAGACACTGCTTTGTGATGTGTGAATTCAACTCAGAGAGTTGAACACTTCTTTAGAAAGAGTATTTTTCAAATAATATTTTTCTTGAATCTGCAAAGGTTCATTGGGAGCACTTTGAGATCTATGGTAGAAAAGGGGTCATCTTCACATAAAATCTAGGTAGAAGCATTCTAGAAACTTCTTTGTGATGTATGCATTCAACTCACGGAGTTGAATCTTCCGTTTGAGAGAGAAGTTTTGAAACAGTCTTTTTGCAGAATCTGCAAGTGGATATTTGGAGCGATTTGAAGCCTGTGTTGTAAAAGGAAATATCTTCCCAGAAAAACTAGACAGAAGAATTCTCAGGAACTTGTTTGTGATGTGTGCATTCAACTCACTGAGTTGAACCTTCCTGTTGATAGAGCAGTTTTGAAACAGTCTCTTTGTAGGATCTGCAAATTGATATTTTGAGCGATTTCTGGCCTATGGTGGAAAAGGAAATATCTTCACATAAAATCTTGATGGAAGCATTCTCAGAAACTGCTTTGTGATGTGTGCATTCTACTCACTGAGTTGAACATTTCTTTTGATAGAGCAGTGCTGAAACACCACTTTTGTAGAATCTACTTCAGGATATTTGGAGCTCTTTGAGGATTTCATTGGAAACGCGATATCCTCTAATAAAAAGTAGACAGAAGCATTGTCAGAAACTGCTTTGTGATGTGTGAATTCAACTCAGAGTGTTGAACACTTCTTTAGAATGAGCAGTTTTGAAACACTCTTTTTCTAGAAGATGCAAGTGTTCATTTGGAGCGCTTTGAGGCCTATGTTGGAAAAGGAAATATCTTCACTTAAAAACTAGGCAGAAGCATTCTCAGAAACTTCTTTGTGATATGTGCATACAACTCACGGGGTTGAACTTTCCTTTTGTGAGAGCAGTTTGAAACAGTCTTTTTATAGAATCTGCAAGTGGATATTTGGAGAGATTTGAAGCCTATGTTGGAAAAGGAAATATCTTCACAGGAAAATTAGACAGAAGCATTCTCAGGGACTTGTTTCTGATGTGTGCATTCAACTCATAGAGTTGAACCTTCCTCTTGAGAGAGCTGTTTTGAAACAATCACTTTGTAGGATCTGCAAGTCGATATTTGGAGCGATTTCAGGTCTATGGTGGAAAAGGAAATATCTTCACATAAAAGATTGATAGAAGCATTTTCAGAAACTGCTTTGTGATGTGTGCATTCTACTCATAGAGTTGAACATTTCTTTTGATAGTGCAGTACCGTAACACCATTTTGTAGAATCTGCTTGAGGATATTTGGAGCTGTTTGAGGATTTTGTTGGAAATGAGATATTTTCAAATAAATCTAGACAGAAGCATTCTAAGAAACTGCTTTGTGATGTGTGAATTCAACTCAGAGAGTTGAACACTTCTTGAGAAATAGCAGTTTGGAAACAAACTTTTTCTAGAATCTGCAAGTATTCATTTGGAGCACTTTGAGGCCTGTAGTGGAAAAGGAAACATCTTCACACAAAAAGTTGACAGAAGCATTCTCAGAAACTGTTTTGTGATGTGTGCATTCAACTCACAGAACTGAAACTTTCTTTTGAGAGAGCAGTTTTGAAGCAGTCTTTTTGTAGAATCTGTAAGTGGATATTTGGAGTGATTTGAAACCTATGTTGGCAAAGGAAATATTTTCACAGAAAAACTAGACAGAAGCATTCTCAGGACCTTCTTTGTGATGTGTGCATTCAACTCAGAGAGTTGAAACTTCCTGTTGATAGAGGTGTTTGGAACAGTCTCTTTGTAGGATTTGCAAGTGGATATTTGGAGATATTTGAGGCCAATGTTGAAAAAGGAAATACTTTCACATAAAACCATGACAGAAGCATTCTCACAAACAGCTTTGTGATGTGTGCGTTCAGCTCACAGAGTTGAACATTTCTTTTGGTAGAGAAGTACTGAAACACTACTTTTGTAGAATCTGCTTGTAGATATTTGGAGATGTTTGAAGATTTCCTTGGAAACGGGATATCTTCAAATAAAAATTAGACAGAAGCATTCTCAGAAACTGCTTTGTGATGTGTGCATTCAACTCAGAGAGGTGAACATTTCTTTAGAAAGAACAGTTTTGAAACATTCCTTTTCTAGAATCTGCAAGTGTTCATTTGGAGCACTTTGAGGCGCACGGTGGAAAAGGAAATATCTTCACATAAAAACTAGGCGGAAGCATTATCAGAAACTTCTTTGTGATGTATGCATTCAACACACAGATTTGAACCTTCCTTTTGAGAGAGCAGTTTTGAAACAGTCTTTTTGTAGAATCTGCCATTGCATATTTGGAGTGATATGAAGCATATATTGGAAAAGGATACAAAATTCACAGGAAAACTAGACAAAAGTATTCTCAGGAACTTGTTTGTGATGTGTGCATTCAACTCAGAGAGCTGAACCTTCCTATTGAGAGAGCTGTTTTGAAACAATCTCTTTGTACGTTCTGCAAGTGGATATTTGGAGCGATTTCAGGCCTATGGTGTAAATGGAAATATCTTCACATAAAAGTTTAACAGAAACATTTTCAGGAACTTGTTTGTGATGTGTGCATTCAGCTCACCGAGTTGAATATTTTTTTTTGATAGAGCAGTACTGAAACACTACTTTTGTAGAACCTGATTGTGGATATTTGGAGCTCTTTGAGGACTTCATTGGAATCAACTTATCTTTAAATAAAAACTAGACAGAAGCATTCTCAGAAACTGCTTTTTGATGTGTGAATTCAACTCAGAGAGTTTAACACTTCTTTAGAAAGAGAAGCTTTGAAACACTATTTTTCTAGAATCTGGAAGTGTTCATTTGGAGCGCTTTGTGGTTTTTGGTGGAAGAGGTAACAACTCCACATAAAAACTAGGCAGAAGCATTCTCAGAAACTTCTTTGTGATGTAAGAGTGTTTGAAAGAGTGTTTCAACACTGAACTATCAAAAGGAAGGTTCAACTCTGTGAGTCGAATGCACACATCACAAACAAGTTCCTGAGAATGTTTCTGTCTAGTTTCTCTCTGAAGATATTTCCTTTTCCACAATAGGACTGAAAGATCTCCAAATGAAGACTTGCAGATTCCAGAAAGGGAGTGTTTCTAAACTGCTCCATCAAGAGAAATGTTCAACTCTGTGAGTGAATGCACACATCACAAAGCCGTTTCTGAGAACGCTTCTGTCAAGCTTTTATGTGAAGATAATTTCTTTTCCAACATAGGCCTGAAAATGCTCCCCATATGCAGTTGCAGAACCTATAAAGAGACTGTTTCAAAACAGCTCTATCAACAGGAAGGTTCAACTCTGTGAGTTGAATGCACACATCACATACAAGTTCCTGAGAATGCTTCTGTCTAGTTTCTCTCTGAAGATATTTCCTTTTCCAACATAGGCTTCAAATCGCTCCAAATATCCACTTGCAGATTCTACAAAAAGACTGTTTCAAAACTGCTCTCTGAAAAGGAAGGTACAACTCTGTGAGTTGAATGCACACATCACAAAGAAGTTTCTGAGAATGCTTCTGCCTAGTTTTTATGTGAAGATGTTTCCTTTTCCACCATAGGCCTCAAAGCGTTCCAAATGAACACTTGCAGATTCTAGAAAAAGAGGGTTTCAAAACTGCTCTTTCTAAAGAAGTGTTCAACTCACTGAGTTGAATTCACATATCACAAAGAAGTTTCTGAGAACGCTTCTGTTTAGTTTTTCTGTGAACATAGCCCGTTTCCATAGAAGGCCTCAAAGAGCTCCAAATATCCACAAGTAGCTTCTTTAAAAGGAGTGTTTCAACACTGCTCTATCAAAAGAGAGGTTTAACTCTGTGAGGTGAATGGACACATCTCAAAGAACTCTCTGAGAATGCTTTTGTCTAGTTTTTATGAGAAGATATCTCCTTTTCCACCATAGGCCTCAAATCACTCCAAATTTCCACTTCTAGATCTTAGAAAAAGACGGTTTCAACACTACTCTATCAAAAGGAAGATTAAACTCTGTGAGTTGAATGCACATATCACAAAGAAGTTTCCTAGAACGCTTCAGTTCAGTTTTTATGGGAAGATATTTCCTTTTCCACCGTAGGACTGAAAGCGCTCCAAATGAACACTTGCAGATAATAGAAAAAGAGTGTTTCAAAACTGCTCTTTCTAAAGAAGTGTTCAACTCTCTGAGTTGAATTCACACATCACAAAGCAGTTTCTGAGAATGCTTCTGTCTAGTTTTTATTTGAAGTTATCTCGTTTCCAACGAAATCCTCAAACAGCTCCAAATATCCAACAGCAGATTCTACAAAACTAGTGTTACACTACTGCTCTATCAAAAGAAATGTTCAATTCTGTGAGTTGAATGCACACATCACAAAACAGTTTCGGAGACTGTTCTGTCAAGCTTTTATGGGAAGATATTTCCTTTTCCACCATAGGCCTGAAATCTCTCCAAATATCTAGTTGCATATCTTTCAAAGAGACTGTTTAAAAACAGCTCTATCAACAGGAAGGTTCAACTCTGTGAGTTGAATGCACACATCACAATAAGTTCCTGAGATTGCTTCTGTCTAGTTTTTCTGTGAAGATATTTCCTTTTCCAACATAGGCTTCAAATCGCTCCAAATATCCACTTGCAGTTTCTACAAAAGGACTGTTTCAAAACTGCTCTCTCTAAAGGAAGGGTCAACTCCGTGAGTGGAATGCATACATCAGAAAGAAGTTTCTGAGAATGCTTCTGCCTAGTTTTTATGTGAAAGTGTTTCCTTTTCCACCATAGGCCTCAAAGCGCTCCAAATGAACACTTGCAAATTCTAGAAAAAGAGTGTTTCAAAACTGCTCTTTCTAAAGAAGTGTTAAACTCTCTGAATTGAATTCACACATCACAAAGCAGTTTCTGAGAATGCTTCTGCCTAGTTTTTATTTGAAGATATATCATTTCCAATGAAATCCTCAAAGCGCACCAAATATCCACAAGCAGATTCTACAAAAGTAGTGTCTCAGTACTCCTCTAACAAAAGAAGTGTTCAACTCTGTGTGTTGAATGCACACATAACAAACAAGTTCCTGAGAATGTTTCTGTCAATTTTTTCTGTGAGGATATTTCCTTTTCCAACATAGGCTGCAAATCGCTCCCAATATCCACTTGGAGATGCTACAAAAAGACTGTTTCAAAACTGCTCTCTCAAAAAGAAGGTTCAACTCTGTGAGTTGAATGTATACATCACACAGAAGTTTCTGAGTATCCTTCTGATTAGTTTTCATGTGAAGATGTTTCCTTTGCCACCATAGGCCTCAAAGCCCTACAAGCGAACACTTGCAGATTCTATAAAAAGAGTGTTTCAAAACTGCTCTTTCTAAAGAAGTGTTCAACTCTCTGAACTGAATTCACACATCACAAAGCAGTTTCTGAGAATGCTCCTGTCTAGTTTTTATTTGAAGATATCTAGTTTCCAACGAAATCCTCAAAGACCACCAAATATCCACAAGCAGATTCTACAAAAGTAGTGTTTCAGTACTGCTCAATCAAAAGAAATGTTCAACTGTGTGATGTGAATGCACACATCACAAAGCAGTTTCTGAAAATGCTTCTGTCAAGCTTTTATGTGAAGATATTTCGTTTTCACCATAGGCCTGAATTCGCTCCAAATATCCACTTGCTGATCCTACAAAGAGACTGTTTCAAAACAGCTCTATCAACAGGAAGGTTCAACTCTGTGAGTTGAATGCACACTTCACAAACAAGTTCCTGAGAATGCTTCTGTCTAGTTTTTCTGTGATCATATTTCCTTTTCCAACTTAAGCTTCAAATTGCTACAAATATCCACTGGCAGATTCTACAAAAAGACTGTTTCAAAACTGCTCTCTCAAAAGGAAGTTTCAACTCTGTGAGTTGAATGCGTACATCAAAAAGACGTTTCTGAGAATGCTTCTGCCTAGTTTTTATGTGAAGATGTTTCCTTTTCCACCATAGGCCTCATAGTGCTCCAAATGAACACTTGCAGATTCTAGAAAAAGATTGTTTCAAAACTGCTCTTTCTAAAGACATGTTCAACTCTCCTAGATGAATGCACTCATCACAAAACAGTTTCTGAGAAAGCTTCTGTGTAGTTTTTCTGCGAAGATATTTCGTTTATAATGAAAGCCTCAAAGAGCTCCAAATATCCAGAAGCAGATAATTCAAAAGGAGTGTTTCAAAACTGTTCTATCAAAAGGAAGGTTTACCTCTGTGAGGTGAATGGACACATCTCAAAGAACTTTCTGAGAATGCTTCTGTCTAGTTTTTATGTGAAGATATTTCATTTTCCACCATAGGCCTCAAATCACTCCAAATTTCCACTTCTAGATCCTACAAAAAGACTGTTTCATCACTGCTCTACCAAAAGGAAGTTTCTACACTGTGAGTTGAATGCACACATCACAAAGCAGTTTCTGAGAATGCTTCTGTCAAGCATTTATGTGAGGATATTTCCATTTCCAACATAGGCCTGAAATCTCTCCAAATATCCACTTGCAGATCCTACAAAGAGACTGTTCAAACAGGTCTATCAACAGGAAAGTTCAACTCTGTGAGTTGAATGCACACATTAAAAAGAAGTTCCTCAGAATGCTTCTGTCTAATTTTATGTCAAGTTACCTCCTTTTCCATCATACGCCCCAAAGCGCTACAAATGAACACGTGAAGATTCTACAAAAAGAGTGTTTCACAACTGCACTATCAGAAGTAAAGATCAAATATGTGATTTGTGTGCACACATCACAATGCAGTTTCTGAGAATGCTTCTATCTAGTTTTTATTTGAAGATATCTCATTTACAAAGAAATCCTAAAACAGCTCCAAATATCCACAAGCAGATTCTACAAAAGAATTGTTTCAGTACTGCTCTATGAAAAGAAATGTTCAACTCTGTGAGTTGAATGCACACATCACAAAGCAGTTTCTGAGAATGCTTCTGTCAAGCTTTTATGTGAAGGTATTTCCTTTTCCACCTTAGGCCTGAAATCGCTCCAAATATCCACTTGCAGATCCAATAAAGGGAGTGTTTCAAAACAGCTCTATCAAAAGGAAGGTTCAACTCTGGGAGTTGAATGCACACATCACAAACATGTTCCTGAGAATGCTTCTGTCTAGTTTTTCTGTGAAGATATTCCTTTTTCCAAAATAGTCTTCAAATAGCTCCAAGTATCCACTTGCAGATTCTACAAAAAGACTGTTTCAAAACTACTCTCTCAAAAGGAAAGTTCAACTCTGTGAGTTGAATGCATACATCACAAAGAAGTTTCTGAGAATGCTTCTGCCTAGTTTTTATGTATGTGAAGATGTTTTCTTTTCCACCATAGGCCTGAAAGCGCTCCAAATGAACACTTGCGGATTCTAGAAAAAGAGTGTTTCAAAACTGCTCTTTCTGAAGTAGTGTTCAACTCTTTGAATTGAACTCACACATCACAAAGCAGTTTCTGAGAATGCTTTCGTCTAATTTTTATTTGAAGATATCTCTTTTCCAACTAAATCCTCAAACAGCTCCAAATATCCACAAGTAGATTTTACAAAAGTAGTGTTTCAATACTGCTCTATCAAAAGAAATGTTCACCTCTGTGAGATGAATGCACACATCACAAAGCCGTTTCTGAGAATCATTCTCTCAATCTTTTATGTGAAGATATTTCCTTTTCCACCATAGGCCTGAAATCGCTCCAAATATCCACTTGCAGATCCTAAAAAGGGACTGTTTCAAAACAGCTCTATCAGCAGGAAGGTTAAACTCTGTGACTTGAATGCACACATCACAAACAAGTTTCTGAGAATGCTTCTGTCTAGATTTTCTGTGAAGATATTTCCTTTTCCAAAATAGGCTTCAGATCACTCCAAATATCCACTTGCAGATTCTACAAAAAGACTGTTTCAAAACTGCTCTCTCAAAAGGAATCTTCAACTCTGTGAGTAGGATGCATACATCACAAAAAAGTTTCTGAGAATGCTTCTGCTTAGTTTTTCTGTTAAGATGTTTCCTTTTCCACCATAGGCCTCAAAGCGCTCCAAGTGAACACTTGCAGATTCATGAAAAAGTTTGTTTCAAAACTGCTCTTTCTAAAGAAGTGTTCAACTCTCTGAGTTGAACTCACACATCACAAAGCAGTTTCTGAGAATGCTTCTTTCTAGTTTTTATTTGAAGATATCTCGTTTCCAACGAAATCCTCAAAGAGCTCGAAATATCCACAAGCAGATTCCACAAAAGTAGTGTTTCAGTACTCTTCTATCAAAAGAAATGTTCAACTCTGTCTGTTGAATGCAGAAATCACAAAGCAGTTTCTGAGAATCATTCTGTCAGGCTTTTATGTGAAGATATTTCCTTTTCCACCATAGCCTGAAATCGCAAAAAACATCCACTTGCAGATCCTACAAAGAGAATGTTTCAAAACAGCTCTATCAAGAGGAAGGTTCAACTCTGTGTGTTGAATGCACACATCACATACAAGTTCCTGAGAATGCTTCTGTCTAGTTTTTCTGTGAATATATTTTCTTTTGCATCATAGGCTTCAAATCGCTCCAAATATCCACTTGCAGATTCTACAAAAAGACTGTTTCAAAACTGCTCTCTCAAAAGGAATGTTCACCTCTGTGAGTAGAATGCATACATTATGAAGATGTTTCTCAGAATGCTTCTGCCTAGTTGTTATGTGACTATGTTCCCTTTTCCAACATAAGCCTCAAAGCGCTCCAAATGAACACTTGCAGATTCTAGAAAAAGAGTGTTTCAAACCTGCTCTTTCTAAAGAAGTGTTCAACTCTCTGAGTTGAATTCACACATCACAAAGCACTTTCTGAGAATGCTTCTCTTTAGTTTTTATTTGAAGATAATTTGCTTATAACGAAATCCTGAAAGATCTCCAAATATCCACAAGCATATTCTACAAAAGTAGTGTTTCAGTACTGCTCTATCAAAGGAAATGTTCAACTGCGTGAGTTGAATGCATACTTCAGAAAGCAGTTTCTGAGAATGCCTCTGTCAAGCTTTTATGTGAAGATATTTCCTTTTCCACCATAGGCATGAAATCGCTCCAAATATTCACTTGCAGATCGTACAAAGATACTATTTCAAACAGCACTCTCATCAGGAAGGTTCAGCTCTGTAAGCTGAATGCACACATCACAAACAAGTTCCTGAGAATGCTTCTGTCTAGTTTTCCTGTGAAGATATTTCCTTTTCCAGCATAGGCTTCAAACCGCTCCAAATATCCACTTGTAGAGTCTACAAAAAGACTGTTTCTAAACTGCTCTCACGAAAGGAGGGCTCATCTCTGTGAGTTGAATGCATACATCACAAAGAAGTTTCTGAGAATGCTTCTGACTAGTTTTTATATGAGGATGTTTCCTTTTCCACCATAGGCCTCAAAGCGCTCCTAATGAACATTTATGGATTCTAGAAAAAGAGTGTTTCAAAACTGCTCTTTCTGAAGAAGTGTTCAACTCTCAGTTGAAATCACACATCACAAAGCAGTTTCTGAGAATGCTTCTGTCTAGTTCTTTTTTGAAGATATCTCGCTTCCAACGAAATCCTCAAACAGCTCCAAATATCCACAATCGGATTCTAGAAAAGTAGTGTTTCAGTACTGCTCTATCAAAAGAAATGTCCAACTCTGTGAGTTGAATGCAAACATCACAAAGCAGTTTCTGAGAATTCTTCTGTCAAGCTTTTATGTGAAGAAATTTCCTTTTCCACCGTATGCCTGAAATCACAGGAAATATCCACTTGCAGATCCTACAAACAGACTGTTTCAAAAGAGCTCCCTCAACAGGAAGGTTCAGCTCTGTGATTTGAATGCAGATATCACAAACATGTTCCTGAGAATGCTTCCGTCTAGTTTTTCTGTGAAGATATTTCCTTTTAAAACATAGGCTTCAAATTGCTCCAAATATCCACTTGCAGCTTCTACAAAAAGACTGTTTCAAAACTGCTCTCTCAAAAGGAAGGTTCAACTCTGTGAGTAGAATGCACACATCACAAAGTGGTTTCTGAGAATGCTTCTGACTAGTTATGTGAAGATGTTTTCTTTTCCACCGTATGCCTCAAAGCGTTCCAAATGAATGCTTTCAGATAATAGAAAAAGAGAGTTTGAAAGCTGCTCTTTTTAAAGAATTGTTCAACTCTCTGAGTTGAATTCACACATCACAAAGCAGTTTCTGAGAATGCTTCTGTCAAGTTTTTATTTGAAGATATCTTGTTTCCTATGAAATCCTCAAAAAGCTCCAAATATCCACAAGCAGATAATACAAAAGTAGTGTTTCAAAACTGCTCTAATAAAAGAAATGTTCAACTCTGTGAGTTGAATGCACACATCTCAAAGCAGTTTCTGAGAATCAATCTGTCAAGCTTTTATATGAAGATATTTCCTTTTCCACCAAAGGCCTGAAATCACTCTAAATATCCACTTGCAGATCCTACAAAGGGACTGTTTGAAAACAGCTCTATCAACAAGAAGGTTCAACTCTGTGTGTTGAATGCACACATCACATACAAGTTCCTGAGAATGCTTCTGTCTAGTTTTTCTGTGAATATATTTTCTTTTGCATCATAGGCTTCAAATCGCTCCAAATATCCACTTGCAGATTCTACAAAAAGACTGTTTCAAAACTGCTCTCTCAAAAGGAAGGTTCAAATCTGTGAGTTGAATGCATACATCACAAAGAAGTTTCTGAGAATGCTTCTGCCTTGTTTTTATGTAAATATATTTCCTTTCCCACCATAGGCCTCAAAGCTCTCCAAATGAACACTTGCAGATTCTAGAAAAAGAGTGTTTCAAAACTGCTCTTTCTAAAGAAATGTTAAACTTTCTGAGTTGAATTCAGACTTCACGAATCAGTTTCTGAGAATGCTTCTATCTATTATTTATTTGAAGATAATTCACTTCCAACGAAATCCTTAAACAGCTCCAAATATCCAAAAGCTGATTCTACAAAGGTAGGATTTCAGTACTGCTCTATCAAAAGAAATGTTCAACTCTGTGAGTTGAATGCACACATCACAAACAAGTTCCTGAGAATGCTTCTGTCTAGTTTTTCTGTGAAGATATTTCCTTTTCCAACATAGGCATCAGATCACTCCAAATACCGACTTGCAGATTCTACAGAAAGACTGTTTCAAAACTGCTCTCTCAAAAGGAAGACTCAACTCTGTGAGTTGAATGCGTACATCACAAAGAAGTTTCTGAAAATGCTTCTGCCTAGTTTTTATGTGAAGATGTTTCCTTTTCCACCATAGGCCTCTTAGCGCTCCAAATGAACACTTGCAGATTTTAGAAAAAGAGTGTTTCAAAACTGCTCTTTCTAAAGAAGTGTTCAACTCTGTGAGTTGAATACACACATCACAGAGCATTTTCTGAGAATGATTCTTTCAACCATTTATGTGAAGATATTTTCTTTTCCACCACAGGCCTGAAACCGCTCCAAATATCCACTTGCAGATCCTACAAAGAGACTGTATCAAAACATCTCTCTCAACAGGAAGTTTCAAATCTGTCAGTTGTATGCACACATCACAAACTAGCTCCTGAGAGAGCTTCTGTATAGTTTTTCTGTGAAGAAGTTTTCTGTGAAGATCTTTCATTTGCAACATAGGGTTCAAATCACTCCAAATGTCCACTTGCAGATTCTACAAAAAGACTGTTTCAAAACTGCTCTCTCAAAAGGAAGGCTCAAATATGTGAGTTGAATGCGTACATCACAAAGAAGCTTCTGAGAATGCTTCTGCCTAGTTTTTATGTGAAGAGGCTTCCTTTTCCACCATAGGCCTCAAAGTGCTCCAAATGAACACTTGCAGATTTTAGAAAAAGAGTGTTTCAAAACTGCTCTTTCTAAAGAAGTGTTCAACTCTGTGAGTTGAATGTACACATCACAGAGCATTTTCTGATAATGATTCTTTCAACCTTTTATGTGAAGATATTTTCTTTTCCACCATAGGCCTGAAACCGCTCCAAATATCCACTTGCAGATACTACAAATAGACTGTATCAAAACAGCTCTCTCAACAGGAATGTTCAAATCTGTCAGCTGAATGCACACATCACAAACTAGTTCCTGAGAGAGATTCTGTCTAGTGTTTCTGTGAAGATATTTCCTTTTGCAAAATAGGTTTCAAATCACTCCAAATATCCACTTGCAGATTCTACCAAAAGACATTTTCGAAGCTTCTCTCTCAAAAGAAAGGTTCAACTCTGTGAGTTAAATGCGTACATCACAAAGAAGTTTCTGAGAATGCTTCTGCCTAGTTTTTATGTGAAGATGTTTCCTTTTCCACCATAGGCCACAAAGCTCTCCAAATGAACACTTGCAGATAACAGAAAAAGAGTGTTTGAAAACTGCTCTTCTAAAGAAGTGTTCAACTCTGTCAGTTGAATTCACTTATCACAAAGCAGTTTCTGAGAATGCTTCTGTCTAGTTGTTACTTGAAGATATCTCGTTTCCAAGGAAATCCTCAAAGAGCTCCAAATATCCACAAGCAGAATCTGCAAAAGTAGTGTTTCAGTACTGCTCTATGAAAAGAAATATTTTATTCTGTGAGTTGAATGCACACATCACAAAGCATTTTCTGAGAATGCTTCCGTCAAGCTTTTATGTGAAGATATTTCCTTTTCCACCATAGGCCTGAATTCGCTCCAAATATCCACTTGCGGATCGTAAAAAGAGACTGTTTCCAAACAGCTCTTTCAACAGGAAGGTTCAACTCTGTGTGCTGAATGCACACATCACAACCAAGTTCCTGAGAATGCTTCCTTCTAGTTTTTCTGTGAAGATATTTCCTTTTCCTTCATAGAATTCAAATCGCTCCAAATATCCACTTGCAGATTCCACAAAAAGACTGTTTCAAAACTGCTCTCTCAAAAGGAAAGTTCAACTCTGTGAGTGGAATGCATACATCACAAATAAGTTTCTGAGAATGCTTCTGCCTAGTTGTTATGTGAAGATGTTTCCTTTCCCAACATAGGCCTCAATGAGCTCCAAATGAACACTTGCAGGTACCAGAAAAAGAGTGTTTCAAAGCTGGTCTTTCTAAAGAAGTGTTCAACTCTCTGAGTTGAATTCACACATCTCAAATCAGTTTCTGAGAATGCTTCTGTCTATTTTTTATTTGAAGATTTTTCGTCTCCAACGAAATCCTCAAACAGCTCCAAATATCCACAAGTATATTCTACAAAAGTAGAGTTTCAGTATTGCGCTTTCAGAAGAAATGCTCAGCTCTGTGAGTTGAATGCACACATCACAAACAAGTTCCTGAGAATGCTTCTGTCTAGTTTTTCTGTGAAGATATTTCCTTTTCCAACATAGGTTTCAAATCGCTCCAAATATCCATTTGCAGATTCTACAAAAAGACTGTTTCAAAACTGCTCTCTCAAAAGGAGGTTTCAATTCTGTGAGTTGAATGCATACATCCCAAAAAAGTTTCTGAGAATGCTTCTGCCAAATTTTTATGTGAAAATGTTTCCTTTTCCACCATAGGCATCAAGGTGGTCGAAATGAACACTTGCAGATAATAGAGTGTTTCAATACTACTCTTTCTAAAGAAGTGTTCAACTCTCTGAGTTGAATTCACACATCACAAAGCAGTTTCTGAGAATGCTTCTGTCTAGTTTTTATTTGAAGTTATCTCGTTTCCAACGAAATCCTCAAACAGCTCCAAATATTCACAAGCAGATTCTACAAAAGTAGTGTTTCAGTACTGCTCTATCAAAAGAAATGTTCAACTCTGTGAGTTGAATGCACACTTCACAAAGCATTTTCCGAGAGTTCTTCTGTCAAGGTTTTATGCGAAGATATTTCCTTTTCCAACATAGGCATGATATCACTCCAAATATCCACTTGCAGATCCTACTAGGAGACCATTTCAAAACAGCTCTCTCAACAGGAAGATTCACCTCTGTGAGCTGAAGGCACACATCACAAACTAATTCCTGAGAATGCTTCTGTCTAGTTTTTCTGTGAAGATATTTCCTTTTCCAACATTGGCTTCAAAGTACTACAAATATCCACCTGCAGGTTCTACAAAAAGAGTGTTTCAAAACTGCTCTCTCAAAAGGAAAGCTCAACTCTGTGAGTTGAATGCGTACATCACAAAGAAGCTTCTGAGAATGCTTCTCCCTAGTTTTTATGTGAAGATGTTTCCTTTTCCACCTTAGGCTTCAAAGCACTCCAAATGAACACTTTCAGGTACTAGAAAAAGAGTGTTTCAAAACTGCTCTTTCTAAAGAAGTGTTGAACTCTCTGAGATGAATTCACACATCACAAAGCAGTTTCTGAGAATGCTTCTGTCTAGTTGTTATTTGAAGATATCTCGTTTCCAACGAAATCCTCAAACAGCTCCAAATATCCACAAGCAGATTCTGCAAAAGTAGTGTTTCAGTACTGCTCTATGAAAAGAAATATTTTATTCTGTGAGTTGAATGCACACATCACATAGCAGTTTCTGAGAATGCTTCTGTCAAGCTTTTATGTGAAGATATTTCCTTTGCAACATAGGCTTCAAATTGTTCCAAATATCCACTTGCAGATCCTACAAAAAGACTGTTTCAAAACTGCTCTCTCAAAAGGAATTTTCAACTCTGTGAGTTGAATGCATACATCACAAAGAGGTTTCAGAGAATGCTTTTGCCTAGTTTTTATGAGAAGATGTTTCCTTTACCACCGTAGGCCTCAAAACGGTCCATATGAACAATTGCAGATTTTTAAAAAAGAGTGTTTCTTAACTACTCTTTCTAAAGAAGTAGTCAACTCTCTGAGTTGAATTCACACATCACAAAGCAGTTTCTGATAATGCTTCTGTCTAGTTTTTATGTGAAGATATTTCCTTTTCCACCTTATGCCTCAAGGCACTCAAAATGAACACTAGAAGATTGTAGAAAAAGAGTGTTTCAAAACTGCTCTTTAAAAAGTAACGTTCAAATCTGTGAGTTGAATGCACACATCACAAAGCAGTTTCTGAGAATGCTTCTGTCAAATTTTCATGTGAAGATATTTTTGTTTCCACCATAGGCCTGAATTTGCTCCAAGTATCCACTTGCAGATCCTACAAAGAGACTGTTTCAAAACAGCTCTATGAAAAGGAAGGTTCAACCCTTTGAGTTGAATGCACACATTACCAAGCAGTTTCTGAGAATGCTTCTGTCAAATTTTCATGTGAAGATATTTTTGTTTCCACCATAGGCCTGAATTTGCTCCAAGTATCCACTTGCAGATCCTACAAAGAGACTGTTTCAAAACAGCTCTATGAAAAGGAAGGTTCAACCCTTTGAGTTGAATGCACACATTACCAAGCAGTTTCTGAGAATGCTTCTGTCGAATTTTTATGTGAAGATATTCCATTTCTAATGAAGGCCTCAAAGAACTCCAAATATTTACAAGCAGATACCGCAATGGGAGTGTTTCCAAGCTGCTCTATCAAAAGAAATGTTCAACTCTCTGAGTTGAATGCACACATCACTAAGCAGTTTCTGAGAACTCTTCTGACTAGTGTTTATGTGAAGATATACCGTTTTCCACCAAAGGCCTCAAATCCTCTTAAATATCCACTTAAAGATTCCTCAAGAAGACTGTTTCAAAACTGCTCTGTCAAAAGGAAGATTCAACTCTGTGAGTTTTAGGCACACATCACCAAGAAGTTTCTGAGGATGCTTCTGTCTAATTTTTATTTGAAGATATTCCCTTTTCCACTATATGCCTCAAAGCTCTCCAAATGAACACTAGAAGATTCTAGAAAAAGAGAGTTTCATAACTGCTCTTAAAAAAGAAATGTTCAACTCAGTGTGTTGAATGTGCACATCACAAAGCAGTTTCTGAGAATGCTTCTGTCTGGTTTTTTGTGAAGATATCCAGTTTCCTACGAAGGCCTCAAAGACCTCCAAATATCCACAAGCATATTCTATAATAGGAGTGTTTCAAAACTGCTCTATCAAAAGAAAGGTTCAACTCTGTGAGTTGAATGGACACATCGCAAAGAAGTTTCTGAGAATGCTTCTGTCCAGTTTTTATGTGACGATATATCCTTTTCCACTATAGGCCTGATATCACTCCAAATTTCCACTTCTAGATCCTACAAAAAGACTGTTTCAAAACTGCTCTGTCAAAAGCAACGTTCAACTCTTTGAGTTTTAGAGACACATCAGAAAGAAGTTCCTGAGAATGCTTCTGTTTAGTTTTTATGTAAAAATATTTCCTTTTCCACCTTAGGCCTCTAAGTGCACTAACTGAACACTTGCAGCATATACAAAAAGAGTGTTTCAAAACTGCTTCATCAAAAGAAAAGTTCAACTCTGTGAGTTGAATGCACTCATCACAAAGCAGTTTCTGAGAATGCTTCTGACTAGTTTTTATCTGAAGTTATTCCCGTATCCAACGAAGTCCTCAAATATCTCCAAATATCCACTAGCAGATTCTACAAAAGGAGTGTTTCAGAACTGCTCTATCAAAACGAAGATTCAACTCTGTGAGTTGAATGCGCACATCACAAAGAGGTTTCTGAGAAAGCTTAGGTCTAGTTTTTATGTGAAGATATTTCCTTTACCACCATAGGCCTGAAAGCCCTCCAAATGAACAGTTGCAGATTCTAGAAAAGGAGTGTTTCTAAACTGCTCCATCAAGCGAAATGTTCAACACTGTGAGTTGAATGCACACATCACAAAGTAGTTTCAGAGAATGCTTCTGTCCAGCTTTTATGTGAAGATATTTCCTTTTCCAACATAGGCCTCAAATCTCTCCAAATATCCACTTGCACATCCTACAAAGAGACTGTTTCAAAACAATTCTATGAACAGGAGGGTTCTACATTGTGAACTGAATGCACACATCATAAAGTAGTTTCTGAGAATGCTTCTGTCTAGTTTTTATGTGAAGTTATTTCCTTTTCCACCATAGGCCTCAAAGCTGTCCAAATGCAGATTCTAGAAAAAGAGTTTCTAAACTGCCCCATGAAAAGAAGTGTTCAACACTGTGAGTTGAATGCATACATCACAAAGCAGTTTCTAAGAATGCTTCTGTCTAGTTTTTATGTGAAGATGTTTCCTTTTCCACCACAGGCTTGAAATCGCTCCAAATATCTACTTGCAGATCCTACAAAGAGACCGTTTCAAAACAGCTCTATCAACAGGAAGGTTCCACGCTGTGAGTTGAATGCACACATCACAAAGAAGCTCCTGAGAATGCTTCTGTCTAGTTTTTCTGTGAAGATATTTCCTTTTCCAACATAGGCTTAAAATCGCTCCAAATATCCACTTGCAGGTTCCACAAAATGACTGTTTCAAAACTGCTCTCTCAAAAGGAAGGTTCAACTCTGTGAGTTGAATGCATACATCACAAAGAAGTTTCTGAGAATGCTTCTGCCTAGTTTTTATGTGAAAATGTTTCCAAAGTGGCCATTCAACCCACGGGGTTGAACTTTTCTTTTGATAGAGCAGTTTTGAAACACTCCTTTTGTAGAACCTGCTTGTTGATATTTGGAGCTCTTTGAGGAGTTCATTGGAATCGGCATATCTTCACAGAAAAACTTGACAGAAGCATTCTCAGAAACTTTTTGTGATGTGTGCATTCAACTCAAAGTGTTGAACATTGCTTTTGATAGAGCAGTTTTGAAACACTCCTTTTTTAGGATCTGCTAATGGATATTTAGATATTTTTGAGGCCTTCGTTGGAAACGGGAATATCTTCAGATAAAAGCTAGTGAGAAGCGTTCTCAGAAACTGCTTTGTGATGAGTGCATTAAACTCACAGAGTTGAACCTTTCTTTTGATGGAGCAGTTTTGAAACACTCTTTTTGCAGAAGCAGCAAGTGCACATTTGTTTCGCCTTGAGGTCTGTGGTGTAAAAGGAAATATCTTCATATAAAAACTAGACAGAAGCATCTCAGAAACTTCTTTGTGATGTGTGCCATCAACTCACAAAGTTGAACCTCCTTTTGACAGAGCAGTTTTGAAACAGTCTTTTTTTAGAATCTGCAAGTGGATATTTGGAATGATTTGAGACCTATGGTGGAAAAGGGAATATCTTCACAGAAAAACTAGACAGAAGCATTCTCTAGAACATCTTTGTGATGTGTGCATTCAACTCACAGATTTGGACGTCCTTTTGAGAGAGCTGTTTTGAAACAGTCTTTCTGTAGGATCTCCAAGTGAATATTTGGAGCGATTTCAGGCCTATGGTGGAAAAGGAAATATCATCACATAAAAACTTGACAGAAGCTTTCTCAGAATCTGCTTTGTGATGTGTGCATTCAACTCACAGAGTTGAACATTTCTTTTGACAGAGCAGTTTTGAAGCCCTCTTTTTCTAGAATCTGCAAGTGTTCTTTTGGAACACTTTGGGGCCTATGGTGGAAAAGGAAATATCTTCACATAAAAACTAGACAGAAGCATTCTCAGAAACTTCTATGTGATGTGGGCCTAAATCTCACAGAGTTGAACCTTACTTTTGACAGAGCATTTTTGAAACTGTCTTCTTGTAGAATCTGCAAGTGGATATTTGGAACGATTTGGGGCTTATGGTGGAAAAGGAAATATCTTCATGTAAAAACTAGTAAGAAGCATTCTCAGAAACTTCGCTGTGATGTGTGCATTCAACTCACAGAGTTGAACCTTTCTTTTGATAGAGCAGTTTTGAAACACTCCTATTGTGAAGTCTGCTCGTTCATATTTGGAGCTCTTTGAGGCCTTCTTTGGAAACCGGATATCTTCCCATAAAAACTAGACAGAAGTATTCTCAGAAAATGCTTCATGATGTGTGTGTTGAACTCACAGAGTTGAATCTTTCTTTTTATAGAGCAGTTTGAAACACTCTTTTTGTAGAATCTGCAAGTATTCATTTGGAGCGCTTTGAGGCCTATGGTGGCAAAGGAAATATCTTCACATAAAAACTATACAGAAGCATTCTCAGAAACTTCTATGTGCTCCGTCCATTAAACTCGCAGAGTTGAACTTTTCTTTTGATAGAGCAGTTTTGAAACTCTCCTTTTGTAGAATCTACTTGTGGATATTTGGAGCTATTTGAGGCCTTTGTTGGAAAGGGGATATCTGCACATAAAAACCAGACAGAAGCATTCTCAGAAATTTCTTTGTGTTGTATGCATTCAACTTAAGGAGTTGAACCTCCCTTTAGAAAGAACAGTTTTGAAACAGTCTTTTTGTAGGATCTGGAAGTGGAAATTTGGAGTGACTTGAGGCCTATGATTGAAAAGGTAATATCTTCACGTTAAAACTTGACAGAAACATTCTCAGAAATTTCTTTGTGATGTATACATTCAACTCACATGGTTGAAACTTTCTTTTGATAGAGCAGTTTTGAAACATCCTTTTTGTAGAATCTGCAAGTGTTCATTTGGAGCCCTTTGAGGCCTATGGTGGAAAAGGAAATATCTTCACATAAAAACTAGACATAAGATTTGTCAGAAACTTCTTTGTGATATGTGCATTCAACTCACAGAGTTGAACCTTCTTTTGAAAGAGCAGTTTAGAAACAGACTTTTTGTAGGATCTCCTAGTGGATATTTGGAGAGATTTGAGGCCTATGGTGGTAAAGGAAATATCTTCACATAAAAACTTGACAGAATGATTCTCAGATACCTCTTTGTGCTCTGTGCATTCAACTCACAGAGTTGAACTTTTCTTTTGATAGAGCAGTTTTGAAACAGTCTTCTTGTAGAATCTGTAAGTGGATATTTTGAACGATTTGAGGCCTATGGTTGAAACGGGATATTTTCACATAAAAACTAGACAGAAGCATTCTCAGAAACTGCTTTGTGATGTGTGCATTCAACTAACAGTGTTGAACCTCTTTTTTGATAGAGCAGTTTTGAAACTTTTCTTTCGTAGGATCTGCTGGTGGATATTTGGATATTTTTGAGGACTTCGATGGAAACGGGAATATGTTAACATAAAAACTAGACAGAAGCATTCTCAGAAGCTGCTTTGTGATGTGTGCATTAAACTCACAGAGTTGAACCTTTCTTTTGATAGGGCAGTTTTGAAACAGTCTTTTTGCAGAATGTGCAATTGGATATTTGGAGCAATTTGAGGTCTATTGTGTAAAAGGAAATATCATCACATAAAAACTTGACAGAAGCATTCTCAGAAATTACTTTATGATGTATGCATTCAAATGACAGTGTTGAACTTTTCTTTCTATAGAGCAGTTCTGAAACACTCCTTTTGTAGAATCTGCTTGTGGATTTTTGAAGGTATTTGTGGTCTTCATTTGAAACTTTATATCTTCAAATAAAACCTAGACAGAATCATTCTCAGAAACTGCTTTGTAATGTGTGCATTGAAGTCACAGAATTGAACCTTCTTTTTGATTGAACTGTTATGAAACAGTCTTTTTGTAGGATCTCGAAGTGGAAATTTGGAGCGATTTGAAGCCTATGGTGGAAAAGGATATATCTTCACATAAAAACTTGACAGAAACATTCTCAGAAATTTCCTTATGATGTGTGCATTCAATTCACAGCGTTAAACCTTTCTTTTGATAGATCAGTTTTGAAACACTCTTTCGTAGAATCTGCTTGTGGATATTTGGAGCTCTTTGAGGCCTTCATTGGAAACAGGATATGTTCAAATAAAATCTAGACAGAAGCGTTCTTAGAAACTGCTTTGTGATGTGTGCATTCAACTCACGGAATTGAACCTTTCTTTTGATAGAGCAGTTTAGAAACACTCTTTTTGTAGAATCTGCAAGTGTTCATTTGGAGTGCTTTGACGCCTATGGTGGAAAAGGAAATATCTTCACATAAAAACTAGACAGAAGCATTCTCAGGAACTTCTTTGTGATGTGTGCATTCAACTAACAGAGTTGAACATTTCTTTTGATAGAGCAGTTTTGAAACACTTTTTTCTAAAATCTGCTGGTGGATATTTGAAGATTTTTGAGGCCTTCATTGGAAGCGGGAATATATTCTCATTAAAATTAGACAGAAGCGTTCTCAGAAAATTCTCTTTGTTGTGCACATTCAACTCATCGAATTGAACCTTTCTTTTGATACAGCAGTTTAGAAACACTCTTTTTTAGGATCAGCAATTGTTCATTTGGAACGCTTTGAGGCCTACTGTGGAAAAGGAAATATCTTCACATAAAAACTACACAGAAGCATTCTCAGAAACTCCTTTGTGATGTGTGCATTCAACTCACAGAATTGAACCTTCTTTTGGATAGAGCAGTTTTCAAACAGTCTTTTTGCAGAATCTGCAAGTGGATATTTGGAGCGATTTGAGGCCTATTGTGGAAAAGGAAATATCTTCTCATAAAAACTACACAGAAGCATTCTCAGAAACTCCTTTGTGATGTGTGCATTCAACTCACAGAGTTGAACCTTTCTTTTGATAGAGCAGTTTTGAAACACACCTTTTCTAGTATCTGCTAGTGGATATTTGGAGATTTTTGGGGAGTTCGTTGGAAACGGGAATATCATCTCATAAAAATTACACAGAAGCATTCTCAGAAAGTTATTTGTGATGTGTGCATTCAACTCATAGAGTTGAACCTTTCTTTTGATAGAGCATTTTTGAAACACCCTTTTTATAGGAAGTGCAAGTGGTCATTTGGAACGCTTTGAGGCCTATGTTGGAAAAGGAAATATCTTCCCATAAAAACTACACAGAAGCATTCTCAGAAACTCCTTTGCATTCAACTCACAGAATTGAACCTTCCTTTTGATAGAGCAGTTTTCAAACAGTGTTTTTGAGGAACCTGAAGTGGATATTTGGAGCGATTTGAGGCCTATTGTGGAAAAAGAAATATCTTCTCATAAATACTAGACAGAAGCATGCTCAGCAACTTCTTTGTGATGTGTACATTCAACTCACAGAGTTGAACCTTTCTTTTGATAAAGCAGTTTTGAAACACTCCTTTTCTAGAATCTGCTTGTGGATATTTGGAGATTTTTGAAGTCTTCATTGGAAACGGGAATATCATCTCATAAAAAGTAGATGGAAGCATTCTCAGAAAGTTCTTTGTGATGTATGCATTCAACTCATGGAGTTGAACCTTTCTTTTGATAGAGCACTTTAGAAACACACTTTTTGTAGGATCTGCAAGTGTTCATTTGGAGCGTTTTGAGGCTTATGGTGGAAGAGGAAATATCTTCACATAAAAACTACACAGAAGCATTCTCAGAAACTTATTTGTGATGTGTGCATTCAACATACAGAGTTGAAATTTCCTTTTGATAGAGCAGTTTTCAAACAGTCTTTTTCGGAATCTGCAAATGGATATTTGGAGAGATTTAAGGCCTATTGTGGAAAAGGAAATATCTTCTCATAAAAACTAGACAGAAGCATTCTCAGGAACTTTTTTGTGATGTGTGCATTCAACTCACAGAGTTGAACCTTTCTTTTGATAGAGCAGTTTTGAAACACTCCTTTTGTGGAATCTGCTTGTGGATATTTTGAGCTCTTTGAGACTCTTGTTGGAAACGGGATATCTGCAGATAAAAACTAGACAGAAGCATTCCCAGAAACTTCTTTGTGGTGTGTGCATTCAACTCAAAGAGTTGAACCTTCCTTTTGAAAGAACAGTTTTTAAATGGTCTTTTTGTAAGATCTTGAAGTGGAAATTTGGAGCGATTAGAGGCCTATGGTGGAAAAGGTAATACCTTCCCATAAAAGCTTGACAGAAGCATTCTCAGAAACTTCTTTGTAGTATGTGCATTCATGTCACAGCGTTGAACCTTTCTTTTGATAGAGCAGTTTTGAAACACTCCTTTTATAGGATCTGCTTGAGGATATTTGGAGCTCTTTGAGGCGTTCGTTGGAAACGGGATATCTTCAAGTAAAAACTAGACAGAAGCATTCTCTGAAACTGCATTTTGATGTGTGCATTCAATTCACAGAGTTGAACCTTTCTTTTGATAGAGCAGTTTTGAAACAGTTTTTTTGTAGAGTCTGCAATTGTTCCTTTGGAGCTGTTTGAGGCCTACGGTGGAATAGGAAATATCTTCACATAAAAACCAGGCAGAAGCATGCTCAGGAACTTCTTTGTGATGTGTGCATTCAATTAACAGAGTTGAACATTTCTTTTGATAGAGCAGTTTTGAAACATTCCTTTTCTAGAATCTGCTAGTGGATATTTTTAGATTTTTGGGGCCTTCTTTGGAAACAGGAATATCATCTCATAAAAAGTAGACAGAAGGATTCTCAGAAAGTTCTTTGTGATGTGTACACTCAACTCAGAGAGTTGAAACTTTCTTTTGATAGAGCAGTTTTGAAACACTTTTTTGTAGTATCTGGAAGTGTTCATTTGGAGCGCTTTGAGGCCTATGGCGGAAAAGGAAATATCTCCACATAAAAACTACACAGAAGCATTCTCAGAAACTCCTTTTGTGATGTCTTCATACAACTCACAGAGATGAACCTTCGTTTTGATAGAGCAGTTCTCAAACAGTCTTTTTGCAGAATCTGCAAGTGGATACTTTGAGCGATTTGAAGCCTATTGTGGAAAAGGAAATATCCTCATGTAAAAAGTAGACAGAAGCTTTCTCAGGAACTTCTTTGTGATGTGTGCATTCAACTCACATGTTTGAACCTTGCTTTTGATAGAGTAGTTTTGAAACAGTCTTTTTGTAGCATCCGGAAGTGAAAATATGGAACGATTTGAGGCCTATGGTGGAAAAGGAAATATCTTCACATAAAAACTTGACAGAAGCATTCTCAGAAACTACTTTGTGATGGGTGCATTCAAGGCACAAAGTTGAACTTTCCTCTTGAGAGAGCACTTTTGAAACAGTCTTTATGTAGAATCTGCAAGTGGATATTTTTAGTGCCTTGAGGCCTAAGGTGGAAAAGAAATGTCTTCACATAAAAACTAGAGATAAGCATTCTCAGAAACTTCTTTATGATGTGTGCATTCAACTCATGGAGTTGAATCTTTCTTTTGATAGAGCAGTTTTGAAACACTCCTTTTGTAGAATCTGCTTGTGGATATTTGGAGATCTTTGAGGCCTTTGTTGGAAACGGGATATCTTCAAATAAAAACTAGACAGAAGCATTCTCAGAAACTGCTTTTTGATGTGTGCACTCAACTCACAGAGTTGAACCTTCATTTTGATAGAGCAGTTTTTAAACCCTTTTTTTTTTTAGAACCTGCAAGTGTTCATTTGGAGAGCTTTGTAGCCTGTGGTGGAAAAGGAAATAGCTTCACATAAAACCTACACAGAAACATTCTCAGGAAATTCTTTGTGATGTGTGCATTTATCTAAAAGAGTTGAACATTTCTTTTGAAAGAGCAGTTATGATACACTCCTTTTCTAGAATCAGCTAGTGGATATTGGGAGACTTTTGAGGCCTTCATTGGAAACGGCAATATCATCTCATAAAAAGTAGACAGAAGCATTTTCAGAAAGTTCTTTGTGATGTGTGCATGCAACTCATAGTGTTGAACCTTTCTTTTGATACAGCAGCTTGAAACACTCTTTTTGTAGGATCTGCAAGTGTTCATTTGGAGCGCTTTGAGGCCTATGGTGGAAAAAGAAATATCTTCACATAAAAACTACACAGCAGCATTCTCAGAAATTCGTTTGTAATGTGGGCATTCAACTCACAGAGTTGAAGCTTCCTTTTGATAGAGCAGTTTTCAAACAGTCTTTTTGCAGGATCTGCAAGTGAATATTTGGAGCGATTTGAGACCTATTGTGGAAAAGGAAATATCTTCACATAAAAACTAGACAGAAGCATTCTCAGGAACTTCTTTTTAATATGTGTTTTAAACTCAGTGCCTTGAACCTTTCTTTTGATAGAGGAGTTTTAAAACACTCCTTTTGTAGAATCTGCTTGTGGATATTTGGAGCTCTTTGAGGCCTTCGTTGGAAACGGGATATCTTCCCATAAAAATTAGACAGAAGCATTCTCAGAAACTTCTTTGGGATGTGTGTGTTCAAATCACAGAGTTGAACCTTTCTTTTGATAGAGCAGTTTTCAAACTATATTTTGTAGGATCTGGAAGTGGAAATTTGGAGTTATTTGAAGTGCATTTTGGAAAAGGAAATATCTTCATATAAAAACTTGACAGAAGCATTCTCTGAAACTTCTTTGTGATGAGTGCATTCAACTCCTACCTTTGAAACTTTCCTTTGTTAGAACAGTTTTGAAAAACTCCTTTTGTAGAATCTGCTTGTGGATATTTGGAGCTCTTTGAGGCCTTCGTTGGAAACCGGATTTCTGCAAATAAAAACTAGACAGAAGCATTATCAGAAACAGCTTTTTGATGTGTGCATTCAACTCACAGAGTTGAACCTTTCTTTTGATAGAGCCGTTTTGAAAAACTTTGTTGAATCTGCAAGTGTTCATTTGGAGGACTTTGAGGCCTATGATGGGAAAGGAAATATCTTCACATAAAAACTACACAGAAGCATTCTCAGAAACTTCTTTGTGATGTGTGCATTCAACTCATAGAGTTGAACCTTCCTTTTCAGAGAACACTTTTGAAACAATCTTTTTGTAGAATCTGCAAGTGGATATTTCTAGCGCTTTGAGGCCTATGGTGGAAAAGGAAATATCTTCACATAAAAACTTGATGGAAGCATTATCAGAAACTTCTTTCTGATTTGTGCATTCGACTCACAGTGTTGAAACTTTCTTTTGATACAGAAGTTTTGGAACACTCCTTTCGTAGAATCTGCTGGTGGATATTTGGAGCTCTTTGAGGCCTTCGTTGGAAAAGGGATATCTTCACATAAAAACTAGACAGAAACTTTCTCGGAAACTGCTTTTTGACGTGTGCATTCAACTGACAGAGTTGAACTTTTTTTGTTAGAGCAGAAACACTTCTTTTCTAAAATCTGCTATTGGATATTTGGAGATTTTTGGGGCCTTTGTTCAAAATGAGTATATATTCTCATAAAAACTAGACAGAAGCATTCTCAGAAAGTTCTTTGTGATCTGTGCATTCAACTCACTGATTTGAACCTTCCTTTTGATAGAGCAGATTTCAAACAGTTTTTTGCAGAATCTGCAAGTGGATATTGGGAGCGATTTGAGGCCTATTGTGGAAAATTAAATATCTTCACATAAAAAGTAGACAGAAGCACTCTCAGAAACTTCTTTGTGATGTGTGCATTCAACTCACTGATTTGAACCGTTCTTTTGATAGAGCAGTTTTGAAACACTCTTTTTGAAGAAGCTGCAAGTGTTCATTTAGTGCGCTTTGAGGCCTATGGTGGAAAAGGAAATGTCTTCACATATAAAGTAGACAGAACCATTCTCAGAAACCACTTTGTGATGTGTGCCTTCAACTCACAGAGTTGAACCTTCCTTTTGACAGAGCAGTTTCGAAACAGTCTTCTTGTAGAATCTGCAAGTGGATATTTGGAACGATTTGAGGCCTATGGTGGAAAAGGGAATATCTTCACATAAAAACTGGACAGAAGCACTCTCTGATACCTCTTTGTGATGTGTGCAATCAACTCACAGTGTTGAACCTTTCTTTTGATAGAGCAGTTTTGAAACCCTCCTTTTGTAAAATCTGCTTGTGGATATTTGGAGCTCTTTGAGGCCTTCATTGGAAATGGGATATCTTCAAATAAAAACTAGACACAGGGTGGAGCAGCCAAGATGGCCGAATAGGGAGAGTTCCATTCTACAGCTCCCAGGGTGAACGATGCAGAAGAGGGGTGATTTCTGCATTTGCATCTGAGGTACCGTGTTCATCTCACTAGGTAGTGCCAGAGAGTGGGTGCAGGTTAGTGGGTGCGTGCACTGTGCACGAGCCAAAGTAGCAGGAGGCATTACCTCACTTGGGAAGCGCCAGGGTCAGGGAGTTCCCTTTCTTAGTCAAAGAAAGTGGTGACAGATGGCACCTAGAAAATCGGGTCACTGCCACCCAAATACTGCACTTTTCCAATGGGCTTAAAATATGGTGCACCAGGAGATTATATCCTGCACAAGTCTTGGAGGGTCCTGCTCACACAGAGTGTCACTGATTGCTAGCACAGCAGCCTGAGATCAAACTGCAAGGCAGCAGCGAGGCTGGATAGGGCTCCCACCATTGCCCAGGCTTGCTTAGGAAAACAAAGCCGATGGGAAGCTCGAACTGGGTGGAGCCCACCACAGCTCAAGGAGGCCTGCCTCCCTCTGTAGGCTCCACATCTGGGGACAGGGCACAGAACAACAAAAAGACAGCAGTAATCTCTGCAGACTTAAATGTCCCTGTCTGACAGCTTTGAAGAGAGCATTGGTTCTCCCAGCACACAGCTGGAGATCTGAGAACTGGCAGACAGCCTCCTCAAGTGGGTCCCTGACCCCTGACCCCCAAGCAGCCTAACTGGGAGGCACCCGCAAGCAGGGGAAGACTGACACCTCACACGGCTGGGTACTCCAACAGACCTGCAGCTGAGGGTCCTTTCTGTTAGAAGGGAAACTATCAAACAGAGAGGACATCCACACCAAAAACTCATCAGTACATCACCATCATCAAAGACCAAAAGTAGATAAAACCACAAAGATGGGGCAAAAACAGAACAGAAAAACTGGAAACTCTAAAAAGCAGAGCACCTCTCCTCCTCCAAAGGAATGCAGTTCCTCACCAGCAACGGAAAAAAGCTGGATGGAGAATGACTTTGAAGAGCTGAGAGAAGAAGACTTCAGATGATCAAATTACTCTGAGCTACGGGAGGACATTCAAACCAAAGGCAAAGAAGTTGAAAACTTTGAAAAAAGTTTAGAAGAATGTATAACTAGAATAACGAATACAGAGAAGTGCTTAAAGGAGCTGATGGAGCTGAAAACCAAGGCTTGAGAACTACATGAAGAATGCAGAAGCCTCAGGAGCCGATGCAATCAACTGGAAGAAAGGGTATCAGTGATGGAAGAGGAAGTGAATAAAATGAAGTGAGAAGGGAGGTTTAGAGAGAAAAGAATAAAGAGAAACGAGAAAAGCCTCCAATAAATATGGGACTGTGTGAAAAGACCAAATCTACGTCTGACTGGTGCACCTGAAAGTGACAGGGAGAATGGAAACAAGTTGGAAAACACTCTGCAGGATATTATTCAGGAGAACTTCCCCAATCTAGCAAGGCAGGCCAACATTCAGATTCAGGAAATACAGAGAATGCCAGAAAGATAATCCTCGAGAAAAGCAACCCCAAGAAACATAATTGTCAGATTCACCGAAGTTGAAATAAAGGAAAAAATGTTAAGGGCAGTCAGAGAGAAGGTCGGGTTACCACTAACAGCGGATCTCTCGGCAGAAACCCAACAAGCCAGAAGAGAGTGGGGGCCAATATTCAACATTCTTAAAAAAAAGAATTTTCAACCCAGAATTTCATATCCTGCCAAACTAAGTTTCATAAGTGAAGGAGAAATAAAATACTTTACAGACAAGCAAATGCTGAGAGATTTTGTCACCACCAGGCCTGCCCTAAAAGAGCTCCTCAAGGAAGCGCTAAACATGGAAAGGAACAACCGGTATCTGCTGCTGCAAAATCATGCCAAAATGTAAAGACCATCAAGACTAGGAAGAAACTGCATGAACTAACGTGCAAAATAACCAGCTAATATCAAAATGACAGGATCAAATTCACACATAACAATATTAACTTTAAATGTAAATGGACTAAATTTTCCAATTAAAAGACACAGACTGGCAAATTGGATAAGGAGACAAGACCCATCAGTGTGCTGTATTCAGGAAACCCATCTCACGTGCAGAGACACACATAGGCTCAAAATAAAAGGATGGAGGATAATCTACCAAACAAATGGAAAACAAAAAAAGGCAGGGGTTGCAATCGTAGTCTCTGATAAAACAGACTATAAACCAACAAAGATCAAAAGAGACAAAGAAGGCCATTACATAATGGTAAAGGGATCCATTCAACAAGAAGAGCTAACTATCCTAAATATATATGCACCCAATACAGGAGCACCAAGATTCATAAAGCAAGTCCTGAGTGACCTACAAAGAGACTTAGACTCCTACACATTAAAAATGGGAGACTTTAACACCCCACTGTCAAAATTAGACAGATCAACGAGACAGAAAGTCAACAAGGATAACCAGGAATTGAACTCAGCTCTGCACCAAGCGGACCTAATAGACATCTACAGAACTCTCCAACCCAAATCAACAGAATATACATTTTTTTTCAGCACCACACCACACCTATTCCAAAATTGACCACATACTTGGAAGTAAAGCTCTCCTCAGCAAATGTAAAAGAACAGAATTTATAAAAGACTATCTCTCAGATCACAGTGCAATCAAACTAGAACTCAGTATTAAGAATCTCACTCAAAACCACTCCACCACATGGAAACTGAACAACCTGCTCCTGAATGACTACTGGGTACATAAAAAAATGAAGGCAGAAATAAATATGTTCTTTGAAACCAACGAGAACAAAGACCCAACATACCAGAATCTCTGGGACACATTCAAAGCAGTGTGTAGAGGGAAATTTATAGCACTAAATGTCCAGCAAGAGAACGCAGAAAAGATCCAAATTTGACATCCTAACATCACATTAAAAGAACTAGAAAAGGAAATGCAAACACATTCAAAAGCTAGCACAAGGCAAGAAATAACAAAAATCAGAGCAGAACTGAAGGAAATAGAGACACAAAAAGCCCTTCAAAAAATTAATGAATCCAGGAGCTGGTTTTTTGAAAGGATCAACAAAATTGATAGACTGCTAGCAAGACTAACAAAGAAAAAAAGAGAGAAGAATCAAATAGACGCAATAAAAAATGATAAAGGGGATATCACCACTGATCCCACAGAAATAAAAACTACCATCAGAGAATACTACAAACACCTCTAGCAAATAAACTAGAAAATCTAGAAGAAAAGGATAAATTCCTCGACACATACACTCTCCCAAGACTAAACCAGGAAGAAATTGAATCTCTGAATAGACCAATAACAGGATCTGAAATTGTGGCAATAATCAATAGCTTGCCAACCAAAAAGAGTCCAGGACCAGATGTATTCACAGCCGAATTCTACCAGAGGTACAAGGAGGAACTGGTACCATTCCTTCTGAAACTATTCCAATCAATAGAAAAAGAGGGAATCCTCCCTAACTCATTTTATGAGGCCAGCATCATTCTGATACCAAAGTCAGGCAGAGACAGAACTGAAAAAGAGAATTTTAAAACAGTATCCCTGATGAACATTGATGCAAAAATGCTCAATAAAATACTGGCAAACCAAATCCAGCAGCACATCAAAAAGCTTATCCGCCATGATCAAGTGGGCTTCATCCCTGGGATGCCAGGCTGGTGCAATATACACAAATCAATAAACGTAATCCATCATATAAACAGAGCCAAAGACAAAAACCACATGATTATCTCAATAGATGCAGAAAAGGCCTTTGACAAAATTCAACAACCCTTCATGCTAAAAACTATCAATAAATTAGGTATTGATGGGAAGTATCTCAAAATAATAAGAGCTATCTATGGCAAACCCACAGCCAATATCATACTGAATGGGCAAAAAATTGGAAGCATTCCCTTTGAAAACTGGCACAAGACAGGGATGCCCTCTCTCACCACTCCTATTCAACATAGTGTTGGAAGTTCTGGCCAGGGCAATTAGGCAGGAGAAGGAAATAAAGGGTATTCAATTAGGAAAAGAGGAAGTCAAATTGTCCCTGTTTGCAGATGACATGAATTGTATATCTAGAAAACCCCATTGTCTCAGCGCAAAATCTCCTTAAGCTGATAAGCATCTTCAGCAAAGTCTCAGGATAGATAATCAATGTACACAAATCACAAGCATTCTTATACACCAACAATAGACAAACAGAGAGCCAAATCATGAATGAACTCCCATTCACAATTGCTTCAAAGAGAATAAAATACCTAGGAATTCAACTTACAAGGGATGTGAAGGACCTATTCAAGAAGAACTACAAACCACTGCTCAAGGAAATAAAAGAGGATACAAACAAATGGAAGAACATTCCTTGCTCATGGGTAGGAAGAATCAATATTGTGAAAATGGCCATACTGCCCAAGGTAATTTACACATTCAATGCCAACCCCTTCAAGCCACCAATGCCTTTCTTCACAGAATTGGAAAAAACTACTTTAAAGTTCATATGGAACCAAAAAAGAGCCCACATCACCAAGTCAATCCTAAGTCAAAAGAACAAAGCTGGAGGCATCACACTACCTGACTTCAAACTATACTACAGGGCTACAGTAACCAAAACAGCATGGTACTGGTACCAAAACAGAGATATAGATCAATGGAACAGAACAGAGCCCTCAGAAATAACGCCGCATATCTACAACTATCTGATCTTTGACAAACCTGAGAAAAACAAGCAATGGGGAAAGGATTCCCTATTTAATAAATGCTGCTGGGAAAACTGGCTAACCATATGCAGAAACCTGAAACTAAATCCCTTCCTTAAACCTTATACAAAAATCAATTCAAGATGGATTAAAGACTTAAACATTAAACCTAAAACCATAAAAACCCTAGAAGAAAACCTAGGCATTACCATTCAGGACATAGACATGGGCAAGGACTTCATGTCTAAAACATCGAAAGCAATGGCAACAAAAGACAAAATTGACAAATGGGATCTAATTAAGCTAAGAGCTTCTGCACAGCAAAAGAAACTACCATCAGAGTGAACAGGCAACCTACAAAATGGGAGAAAATTTTTGCAACCTACTCATCTGACAAAGGGCTAATATCCAGAATCTACAATGAACTCAAACAAATTTACAAGAAAAAAACAAACCAACCCATCAAAAAATGGGTGAAGGACATGAACAGACATTTCTCAAAAGAAGACATTTATGAAGCCAAAAAACACATGAAAAAAGGCTCACCATCATTGGCTATCAGAGAAATGCAAATCAAAACCATAATGACATACCATCTCACACCAGTTAGAATGGCAATCCT